>NC_000011.10:33696363-33847878 GCF_000001405.40 Homo sapiens
TTATCCCCACTTGCCCTACCAGCTACTGCTCTCATTCTCTGTGATCTTCTGCAGCTTAACTCCTCTAAAGAGTGAGCTACACCCATTGTCTCCAAATCATCCCCTTTCATTCACTTTTAATACCACTCCAGTCAGGCATTACCCCTATCACTCAACCAAAACTGTTCTGGCAAGATCAGTACTAACATGCGGCAAAATCCAAGGGCAAATTCTCAGGCTCACCTTACTTGGCCTGTCGGCACAGTCTGTCAGAGGCGACCACTTCCTCCTTTGGCTGCCGAGACACCTGACTCCACTCCTTTTCATTCTCCTTTGCAGGTTCCTCCTGTTCTCCCCATCTTCTTAAGTGAGAGTGCCTCCACCCTCAATATTTGGTTCTCTTTCTCCCTACCCTCACTCCCTCAGTGATTTCATTTGACTTCGTTTTTTAAATAAACCTACCTGTCAGCAACTCCCCAACGTGTACCTCCAGCCCAGGCTTTCTCCTGAACTCCAGGCTTATATGGGCCCCTGCTACACAGCTTCTCCACCAGGAGGTCTACCAGACACCAAAAACTTCACATATCCCAAATAAAACTGCTGATTGTCTCCCCAAAAGCTGTTCCACCTGTGCTCCTCCTTCTCACCAAAACCTGTTCCACCTGTGTTCTCCTATCTTAGATTACCACTCTGTGCTTCAATTGCCTGATACTTCTCACCACACCCACTGCTACCCGCATGATCTTTTACTTGGTTAATTTTTAGAGACAGGGTCTTGCTCTGTTGCCCAAGCTGGCATGCCAGTGGCATGGTCATAGCTCACTGTAACTTTGAACACCTGGGGTCAAGCGATCCTTCCCACCCCAGCCTCCTGAGTAGCTGGGACTACAGGTGTGCACCACCACGCCGGGCTCAGCATGGTCTTTTTAGCTGGAATATTAATTACTACAGCCTCCTGACTGCTCTCCCTGCCTCCTTGCTTGCACCCCGGTAGTCTATTCATATCACAGCAGCACAAGTCAGATCCTGTCACTCCCCAGAAGGCTGTCTAATGACTCTGTCCCACTTGGAGTAAAGCCCAGAGTCCTTACTGTGACTATAAGGCTCTATACAAATGGGCCCCCTGTGTATTCACCCCTACCACTCTCCCCTCACTCCTCCTGCTCCAGCCATCTGGACTGTTTGCTGGTTCTCAAAAATGCTGCCATGCTCCCATCTTTGAAGCAGCCTTTGCACTGGCCCTTCTACCTGGCACATTCCCTAGGGTGTCACGTGGCTATGACCCTCAACCTCCTTCAGACCTTGTTTAAATAATACGTCTTCAAGAAACCCCATGTGAAATTCTGCCCTGCCTTCCTCTGACCCACCCTGGCAATCCTTACTCTGCTTTTTTTTCCCCCTTAGCATGTCATCTTCTATGATACCATATTATGATTTACTTATTTATAATATTTATTGTCTGTCTCTCCCCCACCCCCAATCCCAAGTGCCTAGGCACAAAATAAGCACTCAATAAATATTTCTTGAATATATGAATTTCTAGGAAGGTCCAGGGCTTTGATAAGATTATCAGAGAGTTTGTGGTCCAAAAAACATTTTAAAAAAAATGAAAACACCAACCACTTCCAAGGAGTAAATATGTTTGGGAAAAAAAACAAACCACACACCAAACCTCCACTATTCCAGTCCTCAAAGAACCTTTCTGAGCAGAGACACAGCAGTAGAACCAATATATACATTGCCCTTGGTTTCTCCCGATTCCTTCCTGATAATCTGTTGTTCTGGTTTGCATGACTGTGGTAGTGTTGGGGGTTCCCTCCCTGGTCTCGGGAGACCTTGAATGCTGGCTGGACAGCAGCTTCTAGACACCATGAGAGAGCTCCCTCAGCAGCACATAGAGAGGAGAGAGACCATGAGATTTACCACACAAAGTGGGCACTGTATGTGAAGTACATGCTGGTAGCAACAAGAACAGCGGTAAATACAGAACAGAAAATAACCATCTTTGAAATGACAACAAATGGGACACATTATCTAAGCACTAACACCTAAGGAGGTGGCTGCCCAAGCTCTGGTAGGCAGCTCCTCAGGAGAGAGAGGCCGACTTCTTTCCAGGTTGCTTGGTCTTCAGTCCTTGTAACTTTTCGTCTTTTAGCGCCTTCAGGAATGTGTCTGCAGGAGAGCAAAACAAACTTAGCCGTAATAGAGATAAGGGCTTTTCCTAACACTTCCAAAGCAAACTCTTGGGAAGCAACTGTGCTTCCTCGACCCTAAAACTCCATTTGTGATCCAAGATGGGAGAGAAAAAAACAAAAAACTGAAAACTCTGACTGTAAAAACATGTAACTGGTTCTGACTGTACATGCAACACATCCAGTTACATGTGTTTTTACAGTCAGAGTTGCTAAGTCCTGGATTTCTTCTTCTTCTAATTTTTTTTTTTTTTTTTTTTTTTTGAGAGGGAGTCTCACTCTTTCACCCAGGTTGGAGTGCAGTGGCACAATCTTGGCTTACTGCAACCTCGGCCTCCTGGGTTCAAGCGATTCTCCTGCCTCATCCTCCCGAGTAGATGAGATTACAAATGTGTGCCACCAAGCCCGGCTCATTTTTGTATTTTAGTAGAGACAGGGTTTTACCATGTTGGTCAGGCTGGTCCTCAATGATCCTCTTGTTGGTCAGGCTCCTGACCTCAAATGATCCACCCGCATTGGCCCCCCCAAAGTGCTGAGATTACAAGTGCCAGCCACCACACCCGGCCCCTGGATTTCTTAACTATGTATTCGGTTAAGATTTCTTAACTATGAATACATAGTATTATGTATGTATTCATAGTTAAGAAATCCAGGACTTAGCAAAGCCCAGTTTTTCTAGGGACTGTCTTCCTTCCATGGCTATGAGAAAGGGTGCATTACAGTGTGTCTGATGAACTGAAGACCATTTCCATGGCCACACGGACCTAAGCATTTAGGTTATTTCATACTTCCCTTCTCTGTGTGGCAGGGGAAGCCAACTTAAGCCGTTATATACGATAGTTGGAATGATCTTTTTAGAACTATCTGCCCTTCTCCAGTGGTCAAGGACAAGCCTTAGCCAAAACAAGTGATGGGAAAGACAAAGTCTGCAGGACAACCTACCGCTACTGAAAGTTCTACTTTGCAATAGGTCCTTCTTGGAGTACAAGGCATTTAACAACTTTACCCTCCAACAGGGAGGAGTCATTCAGCTCGTAGGCTGAGGGATCCTGCCCGCATCAGCACACGTGGTCCAGAGCCCTAAGACTTCAGACGTAAGACCAGATATCAGCCCAGGATCCTGGTGAGAGAACTACCGGCGCCAAGGCCACAGAGTCCCAGGGGGGCTGCCCCCCAGCATTGAGAAGTGGAGTGTCCCAAAGCTGCCCTGGAAACGGCCTTGGGCCTTGTGGTTCTTGCACAACTCCCACCTCCCCCTACAGACAACTGACAGTCACCTTACTTCACCTTCCCCCCATGGAGAGCCCCGGTTTAGGACCGAACATTAAAGCTTAGGGACTGTCTGTGGTGGGTGGAGCTCCAGAGTACAGGGTAGGAGGATGACTGTGCAGGAGGATTAAAGTTCAGGACGGGGTGGTGGCGGATGGAGTTCCAGGTGTGGAGGCTCAGAGTCCAGATGACCCAAAGGGTTTAGGACGGAGGGAGGATGGAGTTTGGGACTAAGAGGCTCATGAAGTTCAGATCTGTGGTGGGGGGAGGAGTCGGTTAAGTCCAGGATAAGGGAGTCTGGGTGCTAGGGGATAGATTTTGGATCTGGGACTACTGGGGGCTGGAGTCAAACCAGGCTACATTTCGGGTCGGGGCACGGAGCCAAGGAGGGAGCTAGGGCAGGCTAAGGCTGGGCTCGGTGGCCCTGGCGAGGTCACGCACAGCTCTGGGAGTCGAAGCCGTCCCCAGTGATGGTGAGCAACTCCAGCTCCTTAATCCGGATCTCCAGCTCGCAGAGCTCCTCCGGGTGGGAGGCAGAGGCGAGCCTGGGGGTCGAGGGGCAGGGGACCAGGGGCGAGGCAACCACCTCAGGCCCCGGCGGCGGTGAGTAGAAGAAGCGCAGAGGCTCGTAGGGGATGGAGGCCAGGCCGGAGGGCCAGGGCGAGGGCCAGGGGCGCTCGCTGGAGGGACCCAGGCCGGGTGGTGGCGGGGGCGGGGGCGCCGGGGCGGGGAGCGCCTGGGACAGGGACCGGGCCCCCGCCGCCCCGCCCACTGGCGCCCCGCCCGCCTTCAGCGGCACGAAGAGCTTCTTCCAGATGTTGAAGTCGCTGAGCGGGGACGAGGAGATGCCGCGGTCGTACAGGGACGGGAAATAGAGGGGCGGAGCCGACCGCTGGCTCATGGTGGGGCTGTGGCTGCCGCGCCGCCCCTTTGGCATCGTTTGAATGAGGGTCTGCGTGGGAGGAACCCCGCGCCGGGAGACGCGCGCTCAGGCCCCGAGTCGCCGGGGTTTCGAGGTTCCACAAGCCCCGCCCCGATGGAGCGCGGCCCCACCCTTTCGCCTCAGCCCGGCCCCTAACAGGCGGGGTTCCAAAGCCCGGACGACCACGTCCCGGAACGCGGCCCCGCCCACCTCGGCTGGCCGCACCCCGCAGTTAGAAAGCCACGCCCCCTGGCTCGCCTCGCCTCGCCTCCCGTCCCTCGACTCCGCCCACCGCCTCGCTCTTGCTCTGCGACCCCGCTGGCTTCCGTTGTCATATCCCAGCATACCCTCATCCAGAACAGGCAGCGGGCCAGGGCTGCAGAAGAAAGCTTACTTCAGGCTTCCTCTCTTTCTCCCATGAGGGAGAAAAGTATTTCCTAGAAACCTGGCCCCTGCACCAGCAGACTTACCTCATTGCCTCACTGGCCGCGCCCACAGCAAAGAAGTCTGAGAAAATCAGTGTCTGATTTTTCATCCACTACTGTGGGAGGCAGACAAAGGAGAAGAGGATTGATTGGGAATGGCTGTTAGAGCCAACCTATGTATCTGCCAAACGTTAGCAGTGTTGAGGAAGATTCTAGAAAAGGGGATCCTCATCTGGTTTGTAATAGACCTGAAGGAGTGTTTTCAGTGAAATGCAGTTTAGTTCTCTTCCAAACACAGATATCACCAGGAGCTAACAGGCAACGAGCTAACCACCAAAAGGAAATCCTGTCCGCCCTACCTCAAATACTTCACCCATTGCTTATGAGCGATTTGGACATTTTGTCCAAAGGACATGACAGCTCATTTATGTGAGTAACCTGTATTAGCCATAGACTGAGGGGAAATAACTAATACATTTTCTTGAGAGCCTCTGCCTAATGATCACTGGTATGACTAGTGATGGGTGGAGGGCAGTTAAAGAGTCAGTATCAGCTTCACAAGTTAAATATATATATGCATATGTATCTGCACACACAGTGCAAAGTGTGTGTGTGTGTGTGTGTGTGTGTGTAGCAGCAAAGTGGAGAGAGTCAGATATTCAAGCTGGGTAGCCTTGGACAAGTTGCTTGACTTTTAAGTAGGTTTTCCATAAAATAGAAATAAGAAAACCAGGCTGCCTCATAGGGTTGTGATCAAACAGAAGACGGAACAGTGTGTGTGTGAAACACTTGAACTTGGACACTTTGTCCAAACACAAGAGGCAGCTGTCCCTACTAAGGGGCATGTCTGAAACTGGGAAGCTTTTTCTTCCCACACTGAGCTTCCCACACTTAGTTGTCACACGCAGTATTTGCTCTCTGACTTTGGCAGCCACCCATCATTGTTTATTCATACAAGTGATCACTAGGCTGAGGCTCTCAAGAAAATGTATTTCCCCTCAGTCTATGGCTAATACAGGCCATGTGCGATAGCTCAGCACCCAGCCTGTAATCCCAGCACTCTGGGAGTCTGAGGTGGGATCTCTTGAGGCCAAGAGTTTGAGAACAGCCAGGGGCAACATAGCGAGATTCTGTCTCTATAAAATAATTTAAAAAATTAACCAGGTGTGGTGGCATTTGCCTGGAGCCACTCAGGAGCTGAAGTGGGAGGATTTCTTGAACCAAGGAGGCTGAGGTTGAGGCTGCAGTGAGCCACAATCATAGCACTGCACTCCAGCCTGGGTGACAAGGCAGGACCCTGTCTCAAAATAAATAAAATAAAATAAAATAAAAAATACCCTTATCTTCCATTAGTTTCCCCCACATATTTAACTTCCCATAATTTACTGCCCAAGAAGCTCAAACCTCTTTTCCTTTGTCTTATCACTTTTCTACAATCGCCCATTGTTAAAATTGTATATAAGCTCTCAAGCCACTTCTTTGGGTTTTCACTTTGTTTCTGTAAGAACCCCATGTACCTGCGTAATAAACTTTGTCTTCTGTTAATCTGTCTTTGTCAGTTTAATTCTCAGGCCCCAGGCTCTGAACCTAAGAGATTAGAAGAAAAATTTTTTCACCCCTACAGAACCACAGTAATGGTAAGAACCAGGGTTTTGGACTCAAGACTTGGGACCAAACCCTGGATCCACTATGTATTTGGCTGTGCGGCTGAACCTTTCTCAACCTCATTTTTTCATCAATATAATGGGAATAGTAATGGCATCTACTTGCTTAGGTTGGCAAGACTAAGTGAGACAGTTTAAGTACCTGGCAATGGCTTGTGTTCAACATTAGCTCTTGTTATTACATATTAAAGGCCCTTAGAAGGAAAAGAGATTTTGCGTTATATTTTTTAAATGAAGCAATACAATCATTTTTTATGTATATATCTAGTTGAGGAGAAAAAATTACAGATTTTTTCCCCCTTACTCCAAGATAATCTAAACAGATTTTACTCTGGATGGCTTAATTATAACATAATCCATGAAGTTATAGCCAGGGGGTTAAATAAGAAGTTGATGACAAACTTGGTTTCTCTAACAAGTATGCAAGAAAACTCAAGTGCCACAATGAACACCCATAAACTGCTGTCAGGAGGCAAAGTCCCTATGAGGTAATAATAAACCCACGAGGTTAAGGCAAAACCCTACGGTTGTTTCTGCAAACAAATGTCCAGGAAACTCAAGTTTGTGATGAAAGAACAGTCTTGAATTCAACTTCAGCAGAACCTTTCCCTCCCTGGGCTCCAAAGCACTATGTCACCTACCTCTCCACTCAAATGCCCCATTAAGTACCATCCTGTTGGAGCTTCCTAACGCCCCTGCTCCCTGGTTTCATTTGGAACCAACTGAGAGACACAAGTCCCTCTTCGTTGATCAGGGTCAGTTGAAAGATGTAGCTGTCGGCCTGGTAGCCAGGTGGGCTTGCTAATCCTGCACCTCTACCTTAAGCTTACCCAGCGTGAGGCCAGGTTAGAAAGTCACAGGCCTTGGCAGCAGGCAGAGAGCCTTTACTGTCATAGTGAAGAGCTTGCCAAGGACAGGACTGATTCTTCCTCCAGCCTCACCTATCGGGGCAGTCATTGTTCCGCTGTCAGGAGGAGAGGGGCCAGAAGGGT
Source organism: Homo sapiens (assembly GCF_000001405.40). Classification (NCBI taxonomy): domain Eukaryota; kingdom Metazoa; phylum Chordata; class Mammalia; order Primates; family Hominidae; genus Homo; species Homo sapiens. The sequence continues at coordinate 33,703,807 of NC_000011.10, forward strand.
CACACTGAAGAAATGTGACATGAGGGTGGAGGTTCCTGTCCAGCATTCTTCACTCTCTATTTAACCGAGGCTGACTCATTGCAGTTGGCACTAATTTTCCATTGCCACAGCCCTCTCCAGCCAGGAGGGCCTGGAGTACCTGAGGTGCTGTTTGCCGGGTTCCCTTGGTCCTCAGACTGCTCCCTTCAGAGAAAGCACAGAAAGCCTTCTCTGTCCCAAGGAGCCCCCCTTCCCCTCCCCCACTCCAGCTCTGCATCTGGACACACTGTCAGCCATCAGATCCTGACCAGGTGCTCAGCCTCTTTAGGGATATGTCACAATTTGCCGTGCCCGGTGGCTCTGGGCAGCCTTTGGACATGTAGTGGTTGTGTCTTGGAATACAAGAGTTGTGCCTGAATCTGGGACTCTCTGTGACCCTGGGAAAATCACATCAGCTCTCTGAACCCCAATTGTCTCTGATCTATAAAATGAAGACAGTATCTACTTCATAGGATTGATTTGATGGACATATGTATAAGCAGTGCCAGGGACAACTAGTAGGTGGTCATTGGAGTGTGGCTACAGTTATTATACAGTTACACATGGATTCCTTGATTCCCCATTAAGCCCTGGTGGATGAATGAGGAAAATGCAGCAGGGGGTCCATCCTAGAAAACCCAACCCACTCCAGATAATCGCGCCAGCCTCACACCTGAGAAGCTGCTTCTACGACCTGCTGAGGACATAATGATAAACACACACAAGAGGCTACTGTGTCCCAGGCACTTGTCTTAACTCATTTAACTTTTCTAACAACCCTAAACCTAGGGTTCTCATTTTCCAGATGAGAAAACTGAGGCATGTAAGGTTAAGTAACTTGCCTGAGGGTCGCCGATTAGCATCAGAGCCGGCATTTCAAATAGACAGGCCAGCTCTAGAGGCCAGGGTGTTTGGACAGCCTCCAAATTGTCACCCTAGCCTTCAGGGCAAGGCTGCACACACGGCCTCTAGTCTCCTACCCCTCTTCCTGGCAGGAGGCTGGCTCTGACAGGAGGTTGTTTGTGCCACAATTTAAGGACCAAGCTATTCTGGGAAGCCCAGAACAGTCTTTCCTTTATTATTCATCTCAATTAACCATTGTGTTGGTCTGGACTTGGGGGTGCAGGCATTCCCATCTCCCTTTCAAAAAAGTTTCTAAAAAATGCAGAGCAGCCTTTATTCTTGTTTTCCCAGGTAAATGTGGTCCTATGTACTTGCAGAGTAAGAATTTAAAAAAATAAACCTGAGAGGTAGTTTAGTGGAATAGGGAGTACAGAGGCCTGGAAGATGAGGGAGCTGGGTTTAAGCCCCATCAACCGGCATCAACTAGCCATGCTACCTTGGGCAAAATAACCGTAGCTAACACTTAGTGACCACTTACTGTTGTGCGTTCTCATGTTATCCTGACAGTAACACTTATAGGGTAGGTCTGTCAGAATTTTCTGTCCACAAGCAACAGAAGCTTACACTGAGAATTTATTGGAGGGCTTTGAGACAGCTCATGTAATGGAAAGCTCTTAAGAACTAGGTTTAGAAGGTGCAGAGACCAGGGCAACTTCAGGGATCCAGGTAGCAGGAAGGAATCGGTAGCCTCTTTGGTATGGCCACTATGGTGGTAGACACTGTCTACCTTGTTTGCTGAGTCTTCTGGCTTTCTTCCACTCTTCCTGCTCTTGGACATCAGACTCCAGGTTCTTCAGCCTTTGGAATCTAGGACTTGCACCAGTGGGTTGGTTGCCAGGGGCTCTTGGGCCTTTGGCCACAGACTGAAGGCTGGCTGCACTGTCAGCTTCCCCAGTTTTGAGGTTTTTGAACTCAGGCTGAGCCACTACTGGCTTCTCTCTAACCCAGCTTGCAGACGGCCTATTGTGCGACTTCGCCTTCTAACTGTGGGAGCCAGTTCTCCCTAATAACCTCCCTTTCATATATACATATATCCTACTAATTCTGTCCCTCTGGAGAACCCTAATACATGAATTATAACTCTAAGTTTCAGTTCTGGCCATAGCATTATGTCACACCAACACCAGCATCAATATTTTAGGTTGCCTAATTAATGTATCTGTAAACCTATAGCCAGCTTGGGTGGGGCTATTGAGAGTCAGCACCAGCACTGATCATATATAGGATCAGCCTACTGGGGTTGGCCACGTTGTATGTAGCTGCGAATAGCAAGGAGGGGAACAGCAACATCCCTAGGGAAACCGATCACAGAAAGGCAGCTCACTACCCCACAGTAAAAAGAACCTTGAGTTTCCCAGTTCAGTCCCCTGCTGGGTGCATGCTACCCCCCTCCTCTCCCAGAGGCTCTGGACCTACACAGCTGCTGAAAAAGAGAAAATGTCCTTACCTACAATGAACCATCACAGGCACCCACCTAGAAATTAAGGTACTGTGGTCATTTATCTTATCCCAGAATAACAGGAGTGTGTATAAACAGGAAGCTTTAGTTTAGATAAATAAGATTATCCATTACAAAAATTTTATATTGAATAACCTGTAAGTAATTTGAAAAAGAGACTTCTGGCTAGTTTTCACTTATGTCCAAGTCAGTGGGGGTAAATGCATTGTGATTCACTGTAGGTTTTAGACTCTTACAGCCTTAACAACCTTGTAAATCCATAACTAGCATCTTCCTATCTGGCAGACCCTTTACAAATGCATTATCTCAAGCCTCACAACAATTCTTTGAGGTAGACATAGAAAGTGAAAGTTCAGAAAGGGTTTAAAAAAAAAAAAAAAAAAAAACTTGTCCAGAGACATAGCCAATTAGTGGAAGAGGGTTTGAACCCAGGTTCCTAACTACAAAATCCACGGGTTTAACTGCTGCTCTCCTGAAATGAAATATCTACAAGAAGTAGCAGGCATTGAGAAACAGATGGGAAGATAGTGTTTTGATATGATTTTCTGTTTACAGGAAGGCCTAACTACGTCCTGTTCACCTCATGCTATTGGGTAACTTTCCAGTAAAAAACAATTGCACTTTGTTTTCTTTTCCAAAAAGAGGCAGAAACTGATTTCTTCAAAGTAAAAAGGCACCAGGGACCCATTCTAGACTTTCCAAAGCTAGGCACATATTAAAGAGAGTATACAAAATAGGCAGAGAAGTAGACTTGCTGACCTGAGGAGCTGAGTGGGAAGCATGGACTTGCCAACTTACCTAAGTGACCTTGAGCGATCCAGCTAACTTTGCATAGTTTCCTCTTGTGTAAAGTGAGGTGCAAGTACAGATGAAAATGTATATAAAACATAGAGCTTAGAATCCTGTACCAGAAAGCTGCCCTCATCACAATGAATGTCAGTCAGTACTAGCTCCAGCCAGCTGCTCAGCCCATCAAGAATCCCTCAGGGGGATCTGTTAGCATTAGTTCAGATCTGTTGGCAGCAACAGAAACTAATGCGAGCTAGTAGACTTTGAACACTGCTAAAGAACTTACCAAGAGAACTCAGATGTATAAAAGTGGTTAATTCTGTCAAGAGGCCCAAAGTCTTGGGCAGGCTCTTATTTTTTCAGGACACACATAAGACATGGGGGCTAACTGCAAGGACACAAGAAAAATATACCCATACCTTGAAGCCCCCAGTACATTCAAGACCAAGTTTGGCAAATAGATTAGCATCTTTCAGGAAATACCATGAGCTCCACTTATCTACTCATCAGGTGTTCCTTGCACCCCTAGCTCATCCCCCCAAGGGGACAATCCAATGGGCTTATCACCACCCAATACTGAACACTATGACAGTTCCTGTAAATCCAGATGAGTGGAGGGCACAGGGTATTGGCTCTCGAGCAGAGAGCCAGTAGGCATGACTGGTGTTCGATTCCTAACTCCCCTGCTCCCTGGTTTCATTTGGAACCAACTGAGACAGACACATGAATCCCTCTTCGTTGATCAGGGTCAGTTGGAGGATGTAGCTGTCGGCCTGGTAGCCAGGTGGGCTTGCTAATCCTGCACCTCTACCTTAAGCTTACCCAGCGTGAGGCCAGGTTAGAAAGTCACAGGCCTTGGCAGCAGGCAGAGAGCCTTTACTGTCATAGTGAAGAGCTTGCCAAGGACAGGACTGATTCTTCCTCCAGCCTCACCTATCGGGGCAGTCATTGTTCCGCTGTCAGGAGGAGAGGGGCCAGAAGGGTCACATTGAAGAAATGTGACATGAGGGTGGAGGTTCCTGTCCAGCACTCTTACACTCTCTATTTAACCTAGGCTGACTCACTGCAGTTGGCACTAATTTTCTATTGCCACAGCCCTCTCCAGCCAGGAGGGCCTGGAGTACCTGGGGTGCTGTTTGCCTAGTACTATAAATGTCTTTACATTACAGTATTGCCTTTGGGTCCAGGCACTCAACCTTGTCTATGGCATGAGTCACAGCAACTTTTTGCAGAAAGCAACCCCAAAGTTTAAGGCCATTTATATGACCCTTGTTGATTTGGACAGCTTAACAGCCCCATCTCCCCATTTAGTGGCACTCAGATTTTGCTTTAGAGGACTACCTTCTTCCCAGTGTAGTCTGGCCAAAAAGTGGGTACATGACACAAGATAGCAGTAAGCCAATCTCATCCTAGAATCTCAATCCTGAGAGAGGCTTCCAAAACTGTCGACTCCTGGCTTTCTGGAGTGTGGCTGAATTCCCCACCCCCCCGCCCCCAAAAAAGTTCCCAGAAATTCATTTTCTGCTTAAATTCATCAAAATTGTTTCTCATTCCTTAGAACTCACATGAAATGAGCTTCTTTGCTCAGCCGGTGGCTGTGGGCATGGTCAGTACTTCCTCAGGCCAAAAAAAAAAAAAAAAACCTATTGATGTAAGGAAAGACACTGAGCTAACAGAGAACACAGAGCACCAAGGTAATGCTAAGTTTTGATAAGCAAGTTTCTATTTTCCTATGTTCAGGGAACGGCATCAACAGAAGAAAGCTGGCACTGCTCAGGATGTCTTCTTTCAGTTGCTACCATTAAGCATACTGCATATCCTTTTCGGCCATAACCACATTCACCCACTTGTTATATTTCATTTTCAGAAAAGCATCATTCATTGCACTCGGTTTGTCCAACAGAGTATAATCAAGGGTTTTTTTTCAACATTAATCAAGAAATTCCTCCATCTGCAAAAGTCAGCCTATGCCATTAAATACAGCCAAGATCATAAAATACAAATGTCATTAGGTCTACTGAATCTTGAGATTCATTCACTAGAATACACAGGGAAAAGGAAAAAGTTTGCCCTTGTGAAAGGTGTGTATCATTTTTTAGAAGAGCTTCTGAAAGCCTCAAACATCTGTGAGTGTGCTAAGAGCCGTTACAAAGGTATTTTATACAATCTATGCTGAGTCAGCTAGGAGTTAGCAGGAGGCTGGATGCAGATGGTAAAACATACCCCTGCAGATCTGTTGTTATTAAGGATGACCTTTGGAAGTCTCAAACTGTAACCACAAAGGGTGTCCCCACTGCATTCATACTATATACACACATACCTGAACTGCCTTTCTACCAGTAACATTTAAAATAAGCACACTTAATACTGCCAGTCACATGTAGTAGAGTGTTCACTCTGTAACTGTGTGTGGCAAAGCCAAGATATCCTACCATTCCAATAAAAAAAAGGCAAGGAAATAGCTTTAACACACCATTGATGTATGCTATTACACTTTTCCAGTGGAAGATAACAAAGCCCATATAAAATTTAAAGACAGAGGAAAAACTCGATTTTCAGCCACTTGTACCTCTCTAAGTTTTCATGCCCTGCTATCTGGAACACTTCCCCACTTCCCTGCCAGAAGTCCTCTAGCTCTGCATTAAGGATCTTGTTGTCCCTGACTGACACCCACATATGGAACATTTGGCATGCCTCCATGGCAACACGGGATCCCTGAAGTTTATGAAAGCGTTCCATGTGAGAGAGGATGCTCATATACTCCTGCCCCACCCTCCAAAGATGTACTAATGATGCTAACTGACTACATCCAAGGAGCCAGAGGAAAAATAATCTGAGGGCTGCAGAGAACCCACTCAAGCTGTCACTGCAAAGCTGGTCTTCCCAAGAGCAAAGGAGGAAGCATGCAATCTAGTTCAAGTCACACCTACTTCACTCTTAGACTTCTTCCTTCAAGTGGGGCTTCCCTGCAAACAGGACTGGTCTTCAAAGTCTCCCAGAGCCCCTCTATCTTAGCCAGGTTGCTCAAGCTAATTTTATTCTTTCCCAACAGGATCCATTTGGAAAATATCAAGCCTTTAGAATGTGGCAGCAAGAGAAAGCGGACTACGCAGGAACGGGGAGTTTGGGAGAAGCTCTCCTGGTGTTGACTTAGGGATGAAGGCTCCAGGCTGCTGCCAGAAATGGAGTCACCAGCAGAAGAACTGTTTTCTCTGATAAGGATGTCCCACCATTTTCAAGCTGTTCGTTAAAGTTACACAGGTCCTTCTTGCAGCAGTAGTACGTTAGCTCATTTTCCCTCAAGCGGGTTGTGACGTCGTTGAAATTGCAATGCTCAAACTTCCAACACTTGTTATACACTTGTAACCCTGTGGGGAGACACACACAAGGGTAAGAAAGTAAGTGGGAAGAGTTCTGTATCTGCTTTTGAATCCTCAATTCTATTTCGTATGTATCCTGTGCAAGTAGAGACTTCTAGGCAAGATGCTCATCCCAGGTGGGTTGTAAAGGAGAACAATTAAGTAAATAATGATACACCTCTAAATAGAGCTTTTACAGAAAACCAAGGTCTCATCAGAGCCAGTATAGTTATGGGGGTGGGACGGAGGAGGAACAGGCATTTATACTGTTAAGAGGGAAATTTGGTAATATCTGCCAAGATTTTAAACACATGCCCCCTTTGATCCAGCAATTCCACTTTTAGAATTTACGCTATGAAGTTACTTGGGGATTTTTTCCTTTTCTTTTCTTTTTTTTTTTTAGAGAGATAAGGTCTCACTTTCTTGCCCGGTCATCTGGTCTTGAACTCCTGGGCTCAAGTGGTCCTCCTGCTTCAGCCTCCCAAAGTGATAGAATTATAGGGGTGAGCCACCATGCCCAGCCAAAGCTATGTATAAGATATATGCTCAAGAATGGTCAGAAAAAAACCTGAAAAACCCAGTCCATTAATTTTTAAAAAGTGTTAAAGAAATTACAATAGAATTCCTTACAATGCAAGTTCCATGCAGATAAGAAATGACGTGGGCCTTCAAGTGCTAACATGGAAGGAGCTTGATTTAAAAAAAAAAAAATAAAGGTGGGGGGGGGGCAGAAAAATAGGTAAACTGGACTCCATCAAAATTTAAAACTTTTGTGCTTCAAAGGACATTATCAAAAAATAAAAAGATAACTCACAGAAAGGGAGAAAATGTTTGCAAATCACATGTAAACCACCAGGTGCGGTGGCTCACACCTGTAATCCCAACACTTTGGGAGGCTGAGATGGGAGAATTGTTTGAGGCGGGAAGTTTCAGACCAGCCTGGTCAACATGGCAAGACCCCCTCTCTATTTCTTTTTTAAAGTCATATGTAAGAGCATAGTATCCAGGATATAGAAAACATTCTTAAACTCTACAATAAAAAGACTAACCCAATTAAAATATGGACAATGAGGCCAGTGTGATGGCTCACACCTGTAATCCCAGCACTTTAGGAGGCTGAAGTGAGAGGATTGCCTGCGGCCAGCCTGGGCAACATAGTGATATCCCAACTCTACAAAAATAAAAAATAAAAAAATTAGCCAGGCAGGGTGTTGCGCCTTTAGTCTTAGCTACTTGGGAGGCTGAGGCAGGAGGATCACTTGGACTCAGGACTTTAAGGCTGCAGTGAGCTATGATTGTACTGCTGCATTCCAGCCTAGGCAACAAAGCAAGACCTTGCCTCTTTAAAAAAAAATGGGCAAAGGATTTGAATAAACATTTCTCCAAAGAAGATTCTCAAATGGCCAATAAGTACATGAAAAGATGCTTGATATCATTAGTCATTAGGAACATGCAAATGAAAATCACAGTGAGATACCACTTTATACTCACTAGGATGGCTAAGATCAAGAAAATGGTAAATAGCAAATGTTGCAAGGAAGTGGAAAAAATTGGAACCCTCAAACATTGCTGGTGGGAATGTAAAATGGTGTAGATACTCTGGACAAATTTGGCATTTCTGCAAAAAGTTAAAGATAGAGTTATCCATTTGACTGAGCAATTCCACTCACAAGTGTATATACTTCTGCCATTCTCTGGAAGGATTCCCAAGTAATTTAATACTGTTATCATCATGGAAGAATACACTTCGTTTATGTTTCTATTGAGTTTTTCAAATTTGCCACATGGATAATTTTTAAAATATTTGAAACTTCATTTTAAAAATCATTAGATTATTCAGTAATACAGGAAAAGTTTCTATAAGAACATGCTATCATGGTCTCATTTTTGGAAAAATAGCCTTGGGCACACAGGAAAATAAAGGCCAGATGTATACACTCCAAGTATCTTATCGTAGTTTGAATTGAAAACTACGTTCACACACAAGTTTCCACATGAATGTTCATGGCACCATGATTCAAAATTGCTAAAAAGTGGAAACAACCCATATGTCCATTACTGGTGAATGGATAAACAAAATGTGATATATCCACACAATAGAATACTATGTGGCCACAACAGAATGAAGTACTGATACATGCCACAGCATGAGTGAACCTTGGAAACATTATGTTTAGTGAAAAAAAAGCTAGTCGCAAAGTGCCACAATACTGTATGATTCCTTGCATATGAAGTGCCCAGGAGAGCCAAATCTATGAAGACAGAAAGTACATCAGTCACTGCTGGGGCATGCAGGAGGGAGGAATGAGGACTGACTGCTAACAGGTTTCTTTTCAAGGTGACAGAAAGATCCTGGAATTAGACAGTTGCGATAAGTCATACAACCTTGTAAATATACTAAGAGCCACTGAATTATACACTTTAAAATGTAAACGTTCTGGTCTGTGAATTATATCTCAATAAAAACCCTAGATGCAGAACAGTGTATAGAATGTGACCCATTTGTGGAAATAAAGCACATATACATTGAGGTAAGTGCATTTATTTTTCTCTGGAAGGATTCCCAAGTAATTTAATAGTGTTATCATCATGGAAGAATACACTTCGTTTATGTTTCTATTGAGTTTTTTTAATTTGCCACATGGATGATTTATTTTTAAAATATTTGAAACTTCATTTTAAAAATCATTAGATTATTCAGTAATACTGGAAAAGTTTCTACAAAAAACACGCCATCATGGTCCCATTTTTGGAAAAATAGCCTTGGGCACACAGGAAAATAAAGGCCAGAAGTATATACTCCAAGTATCTTATCACAGTTTTTTTAATATTCAGAAAAAGCATGTTAGGTGAAAAATGTATTAGTTGAGAGAGTGGTATTATGGTAGATTTTCTTCTCCAAAAATAACTGAGTGCCTGTGTGCTAGATACTGGGGTATAAGAAGGTATTTGTCCTTGCCCTGAAAGTGGTTTCTTATCTTCTGTGCTGGAAAGAAAAAAACGCAGATGCATACTTCCTTATTTCAGGCTTGTAGCTAATTTACCCAATTCCATGCAGAGCTTGGAACACAACACTTCTCAGTTTATAACTGCAGGCATAACTGTCCTGTCCTCCTCCTCTGAGGGGATGGGTATCTGGATTGGAATTTAATGAAGTTTAGTCAAGTGGCAGAGTCCACATAGAGTATTCCAGAAATGGCTCTAGTTGCTGAAGTCTTAACTAAATAACTGGAAGCTTCTAATATTGTACTAGAGGCTGCTGGTGATTCAGACAAGTTACTGCTTTGTAACAGTAATTACGCATTGGAACTTGAAAAGCTTTAAAGCTATCAGAATTTTAATTAGGGAAGCCTAGAAGCTTGGGGAGAACAGACAGTAATTTATGAATAATTGCTACCAATTAATCATTTACTATGTGTCGTGCAGCGTACCAAAGTGCTTTACTTGAATTATCATATTCAAACAACAGCCTTAACGATGGTAATAATCTCACCAAAGCCAGCCTTGGAATTATCCACATAAAAGTGGCTTATATCAGAATCCCTGGAGTGTTACAGGTTTTCTCCTCCTCACTCTTTTTGAAGACTTCGGCTCAAGTCTATCTAAAGTCAACAGTCTTCAGCTGTCCTAGGCACCCTTAAATGTGGCCCTTGTTCAGAACGTCATTACAGCAGTGACCACTTGACACTGTCATCAGAGGCTCCTTCAAGACTAAGTACATTTAACCTTGCTTACACTTCCATGGTTTATACTGCTAGGATGCCAGTAAATATTGGTTGAATTAGCAGCCAACCTGTCTCTCTTCTAGACTTACTTTGTATAGCACCATCATATCTGTCTCTGTGCAAACGTCATAGCGTGTAGTTACACAAACTTACATGGAATAGCCTAGTACACACTCAGGCTATGTGGTATGTCCTATTGCTCTTAGGCTACAAACCTGTACAGCAAGTTACTATACTGAATACTGTAGGCAACTGTAATGCAGTGGTAAATATTTGTGTATCTGACCATATCTAAACATAGAAAAATACAGTAAAAATATGACACAAAAGATTTTAAAAATGGTACACCTGTACAGGGCACTTACTGTGAATGGAGCTTGTGAGATTGGAAGTCAGTGAATGAGTGGTGGGCGAATGTGAAGGCCTAGGACATTGCTGTACACTACTGTAGATGTTTTAAATATTGTACATTTAGTCCACACTAAGCTTATTTTAAAAAATCAACCCTAGTTTACTGCCACTTTACTTTAGAAATTTTTTAATTGTAAATGTTTTTACCTTTGTAATAAAACAGGGTAAAACACAAACATGTTATACAGTGGCACAAAAATATTTTCTTTCTATTCTTATTTTATAAGCTTTTTTATTTAAAAAAATTTTTAAAAACTTTTCTTGTTTTTGTTAAAAATGAAGACACAAGCACACACATTAGCCTAGTCCTACATAGGGTCTGGATCATCAGTATCACTGTTTTCCACCTCTTCATCTTGTCCCACTGGAAGGTCTTAGGGGTAAGAATACTCATGGGGCTGTCCTGTCCTAGGAGAGCAATGCCTTCTTCTGGAATACCTCCTGAAGGACCTGCCTGCTGAGGCTGTTTTTTTTTTTTTTTTTCTTTTGTAGAGACAGAGTCTTGTTCTGTCACCCAGGCTAGAGTACAATGGCACGACCTTGGCTCACTGCAACCTCTGCCTCCTGGGTTCAAGCAATTCTTCTGCCTCAGCCTCCCGAGAGGCTGTTTTATAGTTAATTTTTTTAGTAAGTAGAAGGACTACATGCTAACATGATAAAAAATATAGTAAATACACAAACCAGTAACACATTTATTATAAAATATTATATACTGTATATAATTATCAAAATATCAAGTATTATATATTGTGTTATATTTTAGTTTTGTAATAAACTACCAAACTGTCATCCACAGTAGCTATACTGGTTTGCATTCCCACTAGGAATGAATCAAAGTTCCCACTGCTGCTGGGCGTGGTAGCTCACGCCTGTAATCCCAGCACTTTGGGAGGCCGAGGCAGGCAGATCACTTGAGGCCAGGAGTTTGAGATGAGCCTGGGCAAAATAGTGAAACCCCGTCTCTACTAAAAATACAAAAATTAGCTGGGCATGGTGGCTTATGCCTGTAATCCCAATTACTCAGGAGGCTGAGGCATGAGAATCACTTGAACCCTGGAGGCAGAGGTTGCAGTGAGCCAAGATTGCACCACTGCCCTCTAGCCTAGGTGACAGAGCAAGACCTTGTCTCAAAAAAGAAAAAAAAAACCAGAAAAACAAAGTTCCCATTGTTCCACATCCTCACCAGCATCTGGAGTTGTCAGAGTTTTGGAGTTTGGCCATTTTAATAGGTGTGTCTCATTTTTGTTTACATTAACCATTTATAAGAAATTTTGGGATTTAAGAGCTGGAAAAAGATCTTGGCTTTGACCTCCTTTCCTCTCCTCCCTACCTCTGCTGTCCAACACATACATTTCATAAATGAAAAACAGAGGTGGAGAGAGCTAGCTGGTGGCAGGACAGAAGTCAGAGCTCTAATTGCTGCTGTAATATTCATTCAACACATAGTAATTGCCCTTATCGTCTCATTTGGAAACTATACTTAGTTTAATTATACTTAGTAGTGAGGAGTCCAAGAGACACAGTTGATCAAGCTAAAGAGCCAAGTCTTCTGTGCTCGTACATAATGACCATGTTCTCGCTAGGGGCCTTACTACGCTTCCTACATTAACAGTGAATGAATATGGTCTTCCAGTGGGGGCAGAGGGACTGGTGCCCTACAGAATCAAGAGCTCTGAATGGAAGGTTTGGAGTTTTAGCTGCAATCCAGCTAAACTATATCAAATTTATCAAATCCAGCTAAATATATCAAAATTATCAGATGCCCCTGTTTTTTTAGACAGGGTAACTATAATTTGTCTTTAGTTATTGAGGGATTTCTCCTTTCTGGGGAAGTTAATCATCTTTATCTCAGGTTTTTCTGAACATGTGGGTGTCCCAAGGCTTTTCTGAGTTTACCTGACATGTTCACCATTTCTTGATGTTGACACTGGGGGGAGCTGGTGTAGAAGGTCTAAGAGTACAAATAACCTTGTGGAGTGTTTTTATTATTAATCTCTTAGAAATCTAAGCCTGAGGGTTTTACCTTGGACACTAAGAACATTCTGAAACTGCCATTCCTCGCTGGCATCATTTGCACACATCGATTCTATCCAGAACCACACCCCAGCAAGAACAGAGGGCATGTCTTTGCTGGTTTCTTTCCTCTGTCTACCACTTCCTAAACTCTATTTTAACAGGGTGATGGAGGTGAATATTCTGTAGTCTAACAAATTTGGAAAATGCAGACTGGACAGGACTTGTGCATGTTAGCATTGCCCATCCCCAAATTCATGAGCACCTTGCTCTGAGGCTACCGAGCCCTGGCACCTGCTGTTGCCCCTCCCAGGCACACCCTTCCCTTCTTAGCCCTCTTACCTCCTACGTGTCCTTTGAGCTCAGCTTGAGTCTCCTCAGGACTCTGAATATACCAGATACCCCATGGAATGAGACAGAGGCATATATAATGACATTTAGGACAGCCAAACAGGCCTTTGTCATAATTTTAATTGTATGTGTCCTTTCTTTATCTTTGCATCCCTAGCTCCTAACCCTCTGCTGGGCACACAGTAGGTTCTCCAAGGTCTGGGAGGCAGCACAGGGCTGCTGTAAAAGAGCACAAGCTTTGGAATCAGATGGACTTCCATGTTCAATTCCTGAGTCGGTTACTTAACCATAATTTCTTGCTTAATCTGAACCTCCATTTCCACATTTATCAAATGGAAATAAAAGATCACCCTTAGAAGTGCAAAACATTAAATTTAAAATGTATGAAGAAAGTGCTTAGCCCAATACACACCTGACGCTAATAAATGGTAGCTATTACTTGATGCAAGCCTAATGAGGATTACAGTGGCACAATTTTTTTCCCAGGCACTTATTACCCCATTACATTTAGGAGACAGACAGGGGAGGCTCTTACCAGCTTTGGTAATGAGACACGCATCAAAATCAGATGAACAATTGACGGCTGTTTTGCAGTCAGCAGTTGGGTTAGGACAGTTGTAGCACTGCAGGCTATGACCTAGAATCAGGAAGAAAGTCAGGATCTCTTAAAGCAGCACTGACTTGTCCCCTGGCAGCCCACCATCTCCATTAATATGGGCCCAAAGTCAGCAACTTGTGGTATACTTCCACTCCCGCACAAATGTATAGCAGTTATATCTTTCCAAATTCAAACTACAGTTCCAGCAACATTTTTTGGACCCTGATGCAAGCACAAAGGAAATATCCACATTTGAATATCCATCTAACTGTGCAATTGAGAAGCTTCCTCCTAACCTGCAACTGGAAGGAGATTAGTCTGCAATGTAATGATGTGTTAAGAAGAAATTACCGAGAAACAAACAGAATTCTATAAGTGTCTTCCAAGCAATGAATATGCCCAATTAAATCACATCCTCGTGGGTTGATGATCAATGTCTGGCAATACCTATCTGCGTGAAAATACATTTTCAAAATGAAATATGTAAAATGTCATCACAGATTAGTATTAATAGATGAACATCTGCAATTGATTTGATGCGAGGGAACACTAATTTTGAACCCCAATTAAGCAAATGGTTATCCCCCTAAAAAGAATTCTATTCCCCTCATTAGTAGATGTGTATTATTATGCTGGACTCAATAATTATGTTATGAATTTTGTCAATAAAAAAATCTGTGAAAATTTTGTTTCTTATTATTGAGGTAAGTCTCATAATACCCTTGATTTTGCCTCTTGGTCTGCAAAGCTTAAAATATTTACTATCTGGGCCAGGCGCAGTGGCTCACGCCTGTAATCCCAGCACTTAGGGAAGCCGAGGAGGGTGGATCACCTGAGGTCAGGAGTTTGACACCAGCCTGGCCAACATAGCGAAACCCCATCTCTACTAAAAATAAAAAAATTAGCCAGGCATGGTGGTGCACACCTATAATCCCAGCTACTTGGGAGGCTGAGGCAGGAGAATCGCTTGAACCCAGGAGGCAGAGGTTGCAGTGAGCCACAATTGCACCACTGCACTCCAGCTTGGGTGACAGAGCAAAACTCTGTTTAAAAAAAAAAAAAAATTGCTATCTGGTCCTGTACAGAAAAAGTTTGGTAACCTCTGGGACAGGGTATCATTACTGAACTACCCCCTTCTAAGGGACTGACCGAATGCCAGGAGTACACACTGTCAAAGACAAGACAACAGCTGTGCACTTTAAACCCATGGGCATAGGACAGCTGGGTACCAGCAGACACAACGTGAGGGTCATCTTACATCAGAAGCAAATTGCCTCCAGTTCCCTAGTTTGAAAAACAATTATTGCTCCCAGTCAATTCTTAAGACTCATCCTTGCTAGCTGTCAGTTTTTGCTGGGTTATTTTTCCTTCTCCATTTTTGTAACAACAGTGACAACAAAAAGATGAGTTACAGTCCACACGTGTGATGGGGAGAGACTGAGGAAGCAAGAGTTGGAAGGAAATCTTCCTGGTTTGTATGGATACCCCCTTTTCCATCATCAGAGATAAACTATCTTCATGCCATATGACTTCTACCATGTAATCAGTATTTGGAAGTACCTACCTCTGTGAAAAGACATTTTCAAAGATGAAACACGTAAAATCTCACAAAAGAATGTCATGGTTAAACCAAGTGTGGGTTTTAGAGCCCAACAGCTGACTTCTAGTTCTAAGGCTGAAGGCTAGGTTTATCACCATGGAAATAGATTTTTCAGTGGAAAGTCCAGTGGAAGCAAGGTGGGTCCTCACTTTCTGAGCACACACAGGAACCCAGTTCTCTAGAGCATCTGAAATGGCCATGTCTGCCCTCACAGGTGTGAAATCCTACCCAATAGAGGATCCTCTGACTTGTGAAGGTTACAGATTAATGCCTTGAAATATTAGTTTTAAAAAACAACAACAAACTAGGCCAGGTGTGGCGGCTCACACCTACAATCCCAGCACTTTGGGAGGCCGAGGTGGGTGGATCACTTGTAGCCAGGAGTTTGAGACCACCCTGGCCAACATGGTGAAACCTCGCCTCTACAAAATATACAAAGATTAGCCGGGCATGGTGGTACATGCCTGTAATCCCAGCTATTCAGGAGGCTAAGGCATGAGAATCATTTGAGCTTGGGAGGTGGAGGGTGCAGTGAGCCAAGCTTGCACCACTGCACTCCAGCCTGGGAGACAGAGCGAGACCATGTCTAAAAAATAAATAAAATAAAATAAAATAAAAACCAACCTCCTCCCCAACTTTTTTGCAGATGACAAGACAGATGTCTGGAGAGGTGATGTGACTCACACAAGGACACCTGGCTACAAAGCAGCAGAGCTGGCGGCAGCCCTGGGGCCTGTGGGCAGGGCCCCATCCACCAGGCTTTGTTTGTTCTCCCCCACTGTCAGCCTGTGGCTGTCATGCCCGTGTGAGAGGGAAGCCACAAGGAGAAGGCGCAAAGATGCAATTTTTCTTTGGTCCCTTCCTTGTGCCAGACATGTATTCACACGCATGAAATGAAAAGAGTCTAAGATGAAGGGTGTTGTTCTTGAGACTGGCCATGTTTGAGGGCCATTTTAAAAGGTTACCTGTAGACATGGATTTTTGTGGTGGCTAGATCCCGGGCTCATTTGGCCTCTTAAGAAAGCTTTAGAAGGAAAGGCTAAAACCCATGGTTGGAACGTCTGTGGGCAAAAATATTCATGGCAAACATGTTCATTCAGTGTTCAAATATATGTGCATCTATGTGCTAAGCTCTTCATAGGATTGTTAAGAGAACTAGGCTCAATTATCTTCATCCCCACCTTGCAAGAGAAAACTAAGACTAAGATGTTAACTAAATTGTTCAAAGCCACACAGCTACTAAGTGACCGAGCTGAGCTCAAACTCAGGCTGTCAGTTCTAAAATCCAAGCTTGGTTAACCATGATGTTCTTCTAATTGACCTGAGTGGGAAGAGAAGGAAACTCTAGATTATGGTGGAAACTGAGGTCAAAAACAAGCAACAGGGCCAGGTGCAATGGCTCACGCCTGTAATCCCAACACTTTGGCAGGCTGAGGTAGGTGGATCATTTGAGGTCAGGAATTCCAGACCAGCCTGGCCAACATGGTGAAAGCCCGCCTCTACTAAAAATACAAAAATTAAAAAGTAAATAAAAAAAAATACAAAAATTAGCCAGGCATAGTGGCATGCTCCTGTAATCCCAGCTACTCAGAAGACTGAGGCAGGAGAATCGCTGGAACCTGGGACACGGAGGTTGCAGTGAGCCGAGATCGCGCCACTGCGCTCCAGCCTGGGCGACAGAGTGAGACTCCATCCCCCTGAAAAAAACAAACAAAAAAAAACAAGCAATAGGTCAGTGGACAATGGTTTGATATTTTAGCCACTAAGCCAGGGTAGACGAGGTTTCCCCTGGGCCATAAGAGGCAGAGCTCAGAGGAAAGTTCCCCTGCAGGGTCCTGAGACCCTTTTGGGCAGCAGCAAAGAAGGCCTCTCATCTGTGGGCATGTGAGCTTCACATCTCAATTCTCTGAGAAAGGGCTGAAGTGCACCCCAAGACTTGTCACAGAGAAGCTGATGGTCCCAAGCTTGCTCCATAAACAAATGCAGACTGCTGGAAGTAGGATGTCACTGGGCTATTAAAATTCTAGAAAATATTCCAACTTAAGCAGCAGAGACAGAAAAAAAGAAGGAACCAAGAAAAATGAATAAATAAAAAATAATTATAGAAAAAATATAGTGTTTTAACACAGGTGAACCACATTACAGTGCACCCTGGCTAGAATCACGGAAGGTGGGGAAGAAGGGGTGCCATGACTTCTCTTTCTGCTCAGAAAGGGAGAACATATTAAAGTGTGTCCTGGCGCCAAGTTACTACTTTGCCTTCATTTCCTCAGCTGTAATATGGGAGGTAACAGTACCGACCTCCCGGAATGGCTGGACGGATTTAAATGAGACAGGCTCTGGCACAGTCCCCAGTAAACAATAAACAGTGAATATATGGTTGCTGTTAATATTCTAAGACATGCTACAGTGGTGTGGAAATCTTTTTTTAAATTGCTCACTGTATTGCCACTTTCTTTTCTGCTCCCCCCACCAACCATATTTATAAAAAACAAAAAACCAGCAGTGGCCAAGATATTATACCAACATGACACAGGCAGACAACCACACTTGATCTTTACAATGAAGCATGTGTGTTTCCACTGTTATAGAAGTTGACTCAGAAGCACACAATTTCCTCCAGCAACCAGGGGAGGGGTGGCTGAGGAGAGGGGGTGGCCCAGTGACAGATGGCCTGGAGCAGGAGGGAAGAGCAGGGACTCTGTTGCCAGACTGTGTGTTCACATTCCCGTGTACCACTTCTGTGTGTTATTTGACAAGTTATTAATTTTGGGGAGGCCTCAATCTTGTTGCTTGTAAAACAAGGATAAAAATACCACCAACTCCATCAGGTTGGCATGAGGATTAAATAAGCAAATACACGTAAAATGCTTAGAGTAGTGACTGGCACATAAATGCTTCAGGGTTAGTTAGCTGCTGCTGCTGTCACTATGACCATCATCATCATTAAAACACAGGAGGAGCCTCAGAGCAGAAGGACTGAGCTCAGATGGCTCTAAGCAGAGTGGACCCCAAAGGGACTTGCACAGCACTCTAAGAATGGTATCCATTGGTGTCCCCAAGCAGCTTATGGTGACAGGAGTGAAACTTCAGCCGCCGATTGTTGACCCACCCCTGCCAAAAGCCACGCTGTAACTCAGGACGGGCTGTAACTCAGGACGATGCCCCACTGAGGACAAGGTCATAACATAGGAAGGAGCTGTCATACAACCCCAGACCTGTAACACTGGAAGGCAAAAGAACCAAAGCCAGGCCTGGAGGAGCAGCTGGGGCTGAAACTGAGGCTTAAGAAGGGAGTTCATGGCCAAGGCAGCCTAGATCCATGTCCTGAGACTGGAGCACTCACCTGAATGGCAGAAGACAGCCAGGACGAGCAGCAGCCCGAACAGGACAGACCCTCCTTGGATTCCCATTGTGATTGTCCACAGAACCTGGAAGGAAGGGACAGGAAGGAATGTCAGGAACGAACAAATGACTGCTGGTTGTCTCAAAAACCAAGGGCTGGAAGGCCAAGAAGGCTTCTGAGAGGAACATTTACAGGGGGAGTCAAGGCACACTGAATCCCTGGGCCATGCCCCAGCTCTGACCCACAGCACCATATACCCTTGAGTAGGCTCAGTCCCTATAAGCCCCAGTGTGTACTACCACACTGTGGGAATAACACTATCTTCCCCATCAGGGTCAGTGAGTCAAATGACAATATGAGCAAATTGACTCATATAGCCACTGTGGTTCCCACTCTACTGGCCCCACCCCAAGCTGCTGGCTGAAAGAGAGGGCCACTTCTCGGAGCCACAGCACTAAGTGAATCAGACCAAAGGGGTGACTCTGGAAGGCACCAGCATGCATTCAGCAGTGGAACAGGGAGCAATGGCTTAGCATACCTGGAAGCTCTGGCTCCTCACTGTAAGAAGTATAATGGGGACACTTGCTTGCTCTCTTTGGGGACATGAAGAGAGGTATTGAGCAACTTTGTAAGTTTCCATTACGTGAATGCCTAGATGTGTAGTGATAGCATCAGGTGAGAAGAAGGAAAGCCTGAAATGCCTCCAACCCTACTTTACCCAGTAAAGAAGCCAAAGCTTAGGGAGGTTTTGAACTTGCCTAAGTACAAAGCATCCATAGCAGAACTAAGAAATCTCCCAACTCCAATCCTACATCCCTGAACCCATCCTGAAATAAGGAGGTGGCAGTGCCTGTAAACCAGGGTACTCCATATTCTATTCTCCAGAGCCCCACAGGCCCGGACAGACAGATGGGTTCTTGGAAGGGTGAGTCATCTACCCTCCCTAAGTCAGAAATGCAGAGTTCCCTGGGGAACTGACAATCCTGACAATCATTCCTGTCCCTTCCTTCTCACACATCTTGAAGGTCATCTGCTACTTAGGAATTTGCTGACGCAGGCCAGTGGAGGACTGAGAAGTTCCAGGAAAAGGGCAGGGTCTGACATTGTCCAAAAAAGAAAACAATCAGTGAGTCAAGCCTGGAGATGGGGGTGGTGGAGATGAGAAAGAGGTGGTTTTATGATATGTGAGGAACCAGGAAGAAAGACAATTGTCATCTGGCCTTTCCTTACAAATTGAGGGCTCCCCACCACCCGCTGGGCTCTGAAACCTACAGCCTGCTACGGGACACCATCCCCCATGTGGACCTTCCCAGGAGACCTGGGCTCCAGCACATGCCAGCGGCTTGCTTGGTTCCCCATTTTCAGGGGTTTCTGAGTAGGAAGGGTGATTTATAGACTCAGGTTAGACAGGGCTCCAGTATACAAGGAACTGCTACAAGTGAGCAGGGAGAGGAAGGTATTGGTCTGAGGTCCCCGAACAGAGAGCTCCAGACACTTCCTAAAAGTTAAGCATAGCATGATCGGAGCCTGGGTATTATAGTGAGACCCTGTCTCTACAAAAATAAAAACATTAAAAAAAAATTAGACTGGTGTGGTGGCACATAACTGTAGTCCCAGCTACTTGGGAGGCTGAGGTGGGAGGATCGCTTGAGCCCAGGAGGTAAAGGCTACAGTGAGCTGTGACTGTGCCACTGCACTCCAGCCTGGGTGACACAGCAAGGTCCTCTCTCCAAACAAACAAACAAAAACCCAATGTAGCTACAATGTCAGGCATCCCCACGGAAGGAGGAAGGAAGGAATCTCCTGACTCGGGTTAGGCACTGGAAAGGTGTCAGGCTGGCAGGAGCTGCCGGTTCAGGACACTTCCCTTGGAATGGTCCTTGACATAAATCACACTGCCACAACACACAGGGCCCCTGATGGGGAGCTGTTCTTTGAAGTACCTTAGAAAGAAGTGGCCTGCTAAGAAAGCAGGAAGAACACAATGAAAGGGTTCAGAGCACAGGCATTCCAGTCCAATCTGGAGGCCTCTGAACAAGGCCAGATAGTTCTGGCTCTGTCACCTCTTTGCTATGTGTTAACCTCTGATCACGCTTTGGCTAGTAAGCATGGAGATAGTTACATGTACTGCATAGCACAATGCCTGGCCAAAGATGGCACTCAAAAAGCTGTGGCCACTGTTAGTGCTACTCAGGAGTAATGAGGTTACTTGAGGAAGAAATTGTGTGGGGAGGGAGTGTTGGGGGGTGAACGGTGGGAAGGCAGACAGAGGGTGATGTGAGGTGAGGAAGCCAGAGAAACACCCTGGGTTGAATGAGCAGGGGAGACCTCAGGCATCAAACCTAAGGAAGCCCTCAGTTTTCTGGGATGGTTGGGGAGTGTCAAGTCTTAGCCTCAGTTCCACATGACTGGCTGGTTGTTGCTATAGCTGATCCCATGACATGCTGCAGGGGAAGCCAAGACAGCAGAGAAAGGAAGTAGCTATGTGTAGATGCCAAGGTCGGGCTGTTCCATCAAAATAAGACCAGGCCTTTATGAACCACTGCCAAAATATGAATTTCCAAGAGCAAAACGTTCATATGGAGTATGTGTATGTGTATGGGGGGCGGAGGAGGGCGGGAGGCAGAAAAAGAAACAGCTGATTGTTTTAAAGCTATTTTATAAATGCCCTACAATGTAGATGGTAACTAACACTAAGCAAGATCATTTATGGCTTTTTATTTTTCTTCCTGATCCTTTACTTTTTGCCATCCTTTCCCCAAATATTCTATAATTAACCAAGTATTACTTTTACAATCAGAAACATCAGGAAAATTCACACATGACAATGTTCCTTTTCTAGTAGTCATAGATCATCTATCTTTTGGTAAAACTACTCCCTAGACTAAAACACCCTCCATTTTAAGGAAAAAAAAAAAAAAAAAAGAAGATGCCCATAAGTTAAGTGTAGATAAGATGGTAAATGAACCAAAAGTGTTGCCATTCCACCCAAACCAAGTACTTAAATGCAAGATACACTCAGAAAGCATCAACACTCAACTCCTTTCCAAACATTTCAGGATTCATTAATAACGGTGGGTTTGTCCCTAACGACTGTTCTAATAATACTGCTATTGTTCTGAATGATTTTTAATCATTCTAAAGAATGCACAACTGAAAAATCCCTCAAAGAAGATATGTAGGAACAAGTCTTCCCCCATGATGAAGGAACGGCAGGCTTTCCTGGGTGGTGCGTAAGTTGACTCTAAAGTCATTTCCGTAATGGGAGCTCCAAGTAGGCCTTTCATCACAGGAATAAGAAATAGTCAAGGGCATACAAACATTCTTTAAAATAGCAAAAATTTAGTGATACACACATCCAACAATAAGGAAATGAGTATACTATGGTACACTTCCATGGTGGGGAACCGCATAGCCAGGAAAAGTAATGGGCGTGGAAGGCTACTCACAATGAATTAAGATCTGCCAAGCAAATGGAAAGCAAAAAAAGCAGGGGTTGCAATCCTAGTCTCTGATAAAAGACTTTAAACCAACAAAGATCAAAAGAGATAAAGAAGGGCATTACATAATGGTAAGGAGATCAATGCAACAAGAAGAGCTAACTATCCTAAATATATATGCACCCAACACAGGAGCACCTAGACGCATAAAGCAAGTTCTTAGAGACCTACAAAGAGACTTAGATTTCCACACAATAATAGTGGGAGACTTTAACACCCCACTGTCAATATTAGACAGATCAAAAGACAGGAAATTAACAAGGATATCCAGGACTTGAACTCAGCTCTGGACCAAGTGGACCTAACAGACATCTACAGAACTCTCCATCCCAAATCAACAGAATATACATTCTTCTTAGCACCGCATGGTAATTATTCTAAAATTGACCACATAATTGGAAGTAAAACACTCCTCAGCAAATGTAAAAGAACAGAAATCACAACAAACTGTCTCTCAGAACACAGTGCAATCAAATTAGAACTCAGGATTAAGAAACCCACTCAAAACCGCACAACTACATGGAAACTGAACAACCTGCTCCTGAATTACTGGGTAAATAACGAAATGAAGGCAGACATAAAGATGTTCTTTGAAACCAATGAGAACAAAGACACGACGTACCAGAATCTCTGAGACACATTTAAAGCAGTGTGTAGAGGGAAATTTATAGCACTAAATGCCCACAAGAGAAAGCAGGAAAGATCTAAAATTGACACCCTAACATCACAATTAAAAGAACTAGAGAAGCAAGAGCAAACAAATTCAAAAGCTAACAGACGACAAGAAATAACTAAGATCAGAGCAGATGTGAAGGAGATAGAGATACAAAAGACCCTTCAAAAAATCAATGAATCCAGGAGCTGGTTTTTTGAAAAGATCAACAGAATAGACTGTTAGCCAGACTAATAAAGAAGGAAAGAGAGAAGAATCAAATAGACGCAATAAAAAATGATAAAGGGGATATCACTACCAATCCCACAGAAATACAAACTACCATCAGAGAATACTGTAAACACTTCTACGCAAATAAACTAGAAAATCTAGAAGAAATGGATAAATTCCTGGGCACATACACCCTCCCAAGACTAAACCAGGAAGAAGTCGAATCTCTGAACAGACCAATAACAGGTTCTGAAATTAAGGCAATAATTAATAGCCTACCAACCAAAAAAAGTCCAGGACCAGATGGATTAATAGCTGAATTCTACCAGAGGTACAAAGAGGAGCTGGTACCATTCCTTCTGAAACTATTCCAATCAATAGAAAAAGAGGGAATCCTCCCTAACTCATTTTATGAGGCCAGCATCATCTTGACACCGAAACCTGGCAGAGACACAACAACAACAAAATTTTAGGCCAATATCCCTGATGAACATCTATGTGAAAATCCTCAATAAAATACTGGCAAACTGAATCCAGCAGCACATCAAAAAGCTCATTCACCACAATCAAGTCGGCTTCATCCCTGGGATGCAAGGCTGGTTCAACATATGCAAATCAATAAACATAATCCATCACATAAACAGAACCAACGACAAAAACCACATGATTATCTCAATAGACACAGAAAACGCCTTCAACAAAATTCAACAGCGCTTCATGCTAAAAACTCTCAATAAACTAGATATTGATGGAATGTATCTCAAAATAATAAGAGCTATTTATGACAAACCCACAGCCAATATCATACTGAATGGGCAAAAACTGGAAGCATTCCCCTTGAAAACTGGCACAAGACAAGGATGCCCTCTCTCACCATTCCTATTCAACACAGTATTGGAAGTTCTGGCCAGGGCAATTAGGCAACAGAAAGAAATAAAGGGTATTCAATTGGAAAAAAGGAAGTCAAATTGTCTGTTTGCAGATGACATGACTGTGTATTTAGAAAATCCCATCGTCTCAGCACAAAATCTCCTTCAGCTGATAAGCAACTTCAGCAAAGTCTCAGGATACAAAATCAATGTGCAAAAATCACAAGCATTCCTATACACCAATAACAGACAAACAGAGAGCCAAATCATGAGTGAACTCCCATTCACAATTGCTATAAAAAGAATAAAATACCTAGGAATCTAACTCACAAGGGATGTGAAGGACCTCTTCAGGGAGAACTACAAACCACTGCTCAAGGAAATAAAAGAGGACATAAACAAATGGAAGAAAATTCCATGTTCATGGATAGGAAGAATCAATATCATGAAAATGGCCACACTGCCCAAAGTAGTTTATAGATTCAATGCTATTCCCATCAAGCTACCACTGACTTTCTTCACAGAATTGGAAAAAACTACTTTAAATTTCATATGGAACCAAAAAAGAGCCCACATAGCCAAGACAATCCTAAGCCAAAAGAACAAAGCTGGAGGCATCACGCTACCTGACTTCAAACTATACTACAAGGCTACAGTAACCAAAACAGCATGGTACTGGTACCGAAACAGATATATAGACCAATGGAACAGAACAAAGGCCTCAGAAATAACACCACACATCTACAACCATCTGATCTTTGACAAACCTGACAAAAACAAGCTACAGGGAAAGGATTCCCTATTTAATAAATGGTTCTGAGAAAACTGGCTAGCCATATGTAGAAAGCTGAAACTGGATCCTTTCCTTACACCTTACACAAAAGTTAACTTAAGATGGATTAAAGACTTAAATGTAAGACCTAAAACCATAAAAACCCTAGAAGAAAACCTAGGCAATACCATTCAGGACATAGGCATGGACAAAGACTTCATGACTAAAACACCAAAAGCAATGGCAACAAAAGCCAAAATAGACAAATGGGATCTAATTAAACTAAAGAGCTTCTGCACAGCAAAAGAAACTGTCAGCAGAGTGAAAAGGCAACCTAAAGAATGGGAGAAAATGTTTGCAATCTATCCATCTGACAAAGGGCTAATATCCAGAATCTACAAATAAACAAATTTACAAGAAAAAACAAACAATTTCATCAAAAAGTGGGTGAAGGATATAAACAGACACTTCTCAAAAGAAGACATTTATGCAGCCAACAAACTTATGAAAAAATGCTCACCATCACTGGTCATTAGAGAAATGCAAATCAAAACCACAATGAGATACCATCTCACACCAGTTAGAATGGCGATCATTAAAAAGTCAGGAAACAACAGATGCTGGAGAGGATGTGGAGAAACAGGAATGCTTTTACACTGTTGGTGGGAGTGTAAATTAGTTCAACCATTGTGGAAGACGGTATGGTGACTCCTCAAGGATCTAGAACATCTGACCCAGCAATCCCATTACTGGGTATATATCCAAAGGATTATAAATCATTCTACTATAAAGACACATGCACACGTATGCTTATTGCAGCACTGTTCACAATAGCAAATTCTTGGAACCAACCCAAATACCCATCAATGATAGACTGGATAAAGAAAATGTGGCACATATACACCATGGAATACTATGAGTTATAGTTCTTTGCAGGAAAAAGGATGAGTTCATGTCCTTTGCAGGGACATGGATGAAACTGGAAACCATCATTCTCAGCAAAGTAACACAAGAAGAGAAAACCAAACACCACATGTTCTCACTTGTCAGTGGGAGTTAAACAATGAGAACACATGGACACAGGGAGGGGAACATCAGACACCAGGGCCTGTCGGGAGTTGGGGGGTGGGGGAGGGATAGCATTAGGAGAAATACCTAATGTAAACGACAAGTTGATGGGTGCAGCACACCAACATAGCACATGTATACCTATGTAACAAACCTGCACATTGTGCACATGTACCCCAGAACGTAAAGTATAATTTTTAAAAAAGAACTTAAACCCCGTATCTCCGAGAAAAAAAAAAAATACAGGCACTTCTTATCAAGTTCCTGAAAATGTTTTAGATAGCAAATGTTCTGGGTATTTGGGTAGAAAATGTAATGAGTCTATTTCCACTATTTTAAGTAGGAAAACGTGTTACTGTTCATCCAAAACCCCAACCGGCCCCCCAAATATCAATTAAATATATATATACACCCACACACATTTGACCCTTGAACAACACAGGTTTGAACTGCAGGGGTCCATTTATATGCAATTTTTTTTCTGAAAATATATTGGAAAATATTTTGGAGATTTGCAATTGAAAAAACTGTTAGATAAACTGCATAGCCTAGAAATATTTTTTAAAATTAAGAAAAATTTAGGTATGTCATGAATGTATAAAATGTATATAGATACTAGTCTATTTTATCACTACCCAAAAACATACACAAATCTATTATAAAGTTAAAATGTGTCAGCCAGGCATGGTGGATCTTGCCTGTAATTTCAGCACTTTGAGGGGCCGAGGTGGGTGGATTGCTTGAGCCAAGAGTTTGAGACGAGACTGGCAAAACCCCATCTCTACAAAAAAAAAAATAGCCAGGTGTGGTGGCGTGTGCCTGTAGTTCCAACTACTCAGGAGGCTGAGGTGGAAGGATTGCTTGAGCCTGGGAGGTTGAGGCTGCAGTGGGCCAAGACACACCACTGCACTCCCACCTGGGCGACAGAGTAAGACCCTGTCTCAAAAAAATAAATTATTAAAACTTACACACACAAACACAGACCAGACATGGCACCAAAGTAAAGAGAAATGTAAACAAATGTAAAGATGCAGTATTAAATCATACTGCATAAAATCAACTATAGTATATACTGTTAATAATGCCATAGCCACCTCCTGTTGCTATTGCAGTGAGCTCAAGTGTTGCAAGGATCTACTTATCAGCAGGGATATGATTAGTATCATGTGATGCTAATTATCTGTGAGCTGTTTGCCTCTTTAAGAAATTGCACATCACAGTAAAAGGTGATCTCTTGCAGTTCTTGAGTATTTTCTTTATCGTGTTAAGCGCAATAGTGTAAAACTTGAATGACACATGAGACCCTTACAGGGTGCCACAAGTGATGCTGGCCACGCTCCCAAGAAGCAGAAAAAAGTCATGATGTTACCAAAAAACAGTTGAACTACTTGATATGTACTACAGATTGAGGTCTGCAGTTGTGGCCGCCTGCCATTTCAGACAAGTAATTCATCTTGTAAACAGACGACATAAACTGATGGTATCAATAACTATAGTACAGAACTGTAATGGATTTTCTCTTCCTTACGATTTTCTAAGTAACATTTTCTTTTCTCTAGCTTACTTTATCATAAGAATACAGTAGGCAATACATATAACACACCAAATGTGTGTTAATCAACTGTTTATGTTATCGGTAAAGTTTCTGGTCAACAGTAGGCTATTAGTAATTAAGTTTTGGGGGAGTCAAAAGTTAAACTTGAATCTTCAACCGTGTAGGTGGTCAGTGTCCCTAACCCTGCATTGTTTTAGGGTCAACTGTATATAAACATATATAATATATATTACATATATACGTAAAAACACACATATACATACATTATATATACACACACAAATACACATATATATGCACATATATATATGCAATCCAAAGAAATTGAACATAAAACATTTAACACATCAAATAATTATTTAATAACATTTAAGGAATTCACTCATCAGTATACTTACTACTGTGAAGTAGGTCTCAACTCCTACACCAACTGGTGCTAAAGACTAGGACGAAAATAAAAGAGGGTCATAACAGTGGTTCTCAAACTTTAGGGAGCATCAGAATCACCTGGAGGGCTCTTAAGTAGATGATTAGACTCCAGCCCTAGAGGTTTTAATTCAGGTGGGCTAGTGTAAGGCTCAAGAATGTGCATTTTGAGCCAGCACTCAGGTGCTGCGTTTCTGCTGGTTCAGGGATCACACTAAGAACCACTGGGTTAGAGGGTGACCTGGCATAAGGGCCAGGTTACTTTAGATTGGGTTGGAAATGTTTCTTCCAACAGGGTTATAAAAGAAGCTGTTAGTTCTTAAATATTTAGGAGCCGCTTCTACTTTTAAGGGCCCATATGATTATGACATTGAATGCAAGCCATTAGGCAAGACCTTGTGATATGGTTTGGTTGTGTTCCCACCCAAATCTCATTTTGAATTGTAACTCCCATAATTCCCACGTGTTGTGGGAGGGACCTGGTGGGAGATAATTGAATCACTGGGGACGGTTTCCCCCATACTGTTCTTGTGGTAGTGAATAAGTCACACAAGAGCTGATGGTTTTATAAGGGGTTTCCCCTTTCACTTGGCTCTCATATTTCTGTCTTGTCTGCTGCCAGTAAGACGTGCCTTTCACCCTCTGCCATGATTGTGAGGCATCCCTAGCCACGTGGAACTGTGAGTCCATTAAACCTCTATTTCTTTACAAATTACCCAGTCTTCGGTATGTCTTTATCAGCAGCATGAAAATGGACTAATACACCTCCAAAATCTCATGTTGAATTTTAATCCCCAGTGTCGGAGGAGGGACCTGGTGGGAGGTGACTGGATTATGGGGTGGTTTCTAACAGTTCAGCACCATCCCCCTAGTGCTGTCTTGTGGCAGAGCTTAGGAAATCTGGTTGTTTGAAAGTGTGTAGCACTTCCCCCTTTGCTGTCTTCCTCCTGCTCCCGCCAAGTAAGGCATTCTTGCTTCCCCTTCTCCACCATGATTCTAAGTTTCCTAAGGCCTTCCCAGAAGCAGAAGCCTATACAGCCCAAAGAACTGCGAGCCAATTAAACCTCTTTTCTTTATAAATTACCCAGTCTCAGGTACTTCTTTATAGCAGTGTGAGAATGGACTAATACACCTTGTTCCTGTGTTAACTTCCATTTGGTGAGCAAATATCAAGGGCCAGTTGCTAAGATAGATGCTCTTGACATAGTAACTGGAGTTAATCCTCACAATAATACCATAAGGTAAACTGAACCTTTGCCTCCAATTACAGGGGGAGGAAACAAGATTGAGGAAGAGAACTAATTTATGCAACTAACTTATGTGGTAGGTAGAATAATGCCTCTCTTCCCCAAAAATGTCCGTATCCTAACTCCAGGAACCTGTGAAAACAGGAGACCTTGCATGGCAAGTGACTTTGTAGATGAGATTAAGGAGATTATTTTGGATTATTCAATGGGCCCAATGTAATCCCAGGGGTCATTGAAAGAGGAAGAAGGTAGCAGAGTCTGTCAAAGACTCATGACCGACAACAGAAAAAGAGGCAAGAAATTTGAAGAATGAGATGAAGACACGAAGGGTTCCCTAAGCCAAGGCACACAGGCGGCCTTTAGAAGCTAAGAATGGTCCTCAACTGACACTCAGCAAAGAAACAGAACCTCAGTCCTCCAGTCACAAGGACTATATTCTACCAGGAACCTGAATGAGCACAGAAACAGACTCTCCCCTAGAGCCTCCAGAGCAGCACAGAGCCCTGCCACCTTGATTACAGCCCTGTGAGACCTGTGTCAGACTTCTGATTTACAGAATGGAAAGATTAATAAACTTGTGGCATTTGAAACAGCTAAATTTGTGGTGGTTTCAGCAGCAGTAGAAAATTATTATAAGGCCGAGTGTGGTGGCTCATGCCTATAATCCCAGCACTTTGGGAGGCTGAGGCGGGTGGATCACTTGAGGCCAGGAGTTCCAGACCAGCCTGGCCAACATGGTGAAACCCTGTCTCTACTAAAAAAAATACAAAAATTAGCCAGATGTGGTGGCACTCACCTGTAATCCCAGCTACTTGAGAGGCTGAGACACGAGAATCGCTTGCACCCAGGAGGTGGAGGTTGCAGTGAGCCAAGACTGTGCCACTGCACTCCAGCTTGGGCAACAGAGAGAGACTGTCTCAAAATTAAAAAAAAAAATTATTAAAATTATTATAGCAACCTCTGAACTGGAAACTGGTAGAACAGCATTTAAACCCAGGTCTAAGCTCTGAGTGAACGAACCATAGTTAAACTCTAGTGGGGAGACGGGAGACTTCTTATAAATTCAGCTTCTGAAATACATTAGTTAAGCTGAGGTCATTAGAGAAGAGAGTTGACATCAGTGGTGTTTCCACAAGATTCACAGTTGCCCATGAGTATGGTTACTCCTCCTAGGAGCCTGAGGCCTTACAGACTGAAGAATTTTAAGGCTAGAAGTGTCCTCAAAATAAAACCCAATGTTTTTATTTTATAGGAAATTAGTGGAGGCCCAGTGGGATGAAATTACCTGTCCCAAGGCAACATGTTAGTCGCAAAACCACCCTGGATGGATCTTGTTTCTATTCGCCAGGGGCTGGCAACTCACAAGATACCTAGTGTCAGCAATGTCAGAGAACTAGAGCTTTTGAACCCCAGGTCTGCGTGTCACCTTGGAGACATACACAATACCTGCTCTAGCCATGCCTGTTGAAGCGCCCAGACAAACATCCATCACTCAGTTCACGGAACAAATTACATCAGCAGGAAGAGACAAAGAGAAAACAACCATCATAACGGAAAAGGCTTTCCAATCCAGCCAAGGTTCTCATGCCAGGAATAACCACTCCAAAACTCTTTGTGTGATATACATATAAATTCTAGGGTACATGTGCAGGATGTGCAGATTTGTTTCATAGGTAAACGTGTACCATGGTGGTTTGCTGCACCTATCAACCCATCACCTAGGTATTAAGCCCAGCATGCATTAGCTGTTTTTCCTAATGCTCTATCCCCACCCACCCCACCTGCCGACAGGCGCCAGTGTGTGTTGTTCCCCTCCCTGTGTCCAAGTGTTCTCATTGGTCAGCTCCCACTTATTAGGCCAGAACTCTTTGGACCAAACAAATCTGCAGCTTCCCCTACAAGGGCCTTTCCTGCAGTTTGTTCCGGAATGCCAATCCCTAACTCTCCAAAGAGTCCTATCTCCGCACTCACGGCCCCTCCCGTGTTAAGTACACATGCAAAACCAAGGTTTAGTGAATATGTTTCCTAAGATATAGGACATAAGTAAAAAGAAGTCTTTGCCTTTAGAAAGCCTCAAGCACTTCTGGGCTTGGCAATGTCTGTGGCGGTTTGGCTGAGGTTCTTAAAGAGGTGGCCCAGAATTTTCCATGCTCTACTTTTCAAGAGCTTCTACCAGCAGCTGTCAAAGATGAATGCCATTAGGCACCCCACTCTCTCACCCTAAGATCCATTTTATTTAGGCTTTTATCTCCTAAGCCACTCAGCTAATGGGATGTTTTTCTTACAGCTAAGTTCAGCAAACAGTTTCTAGTTTCCACTGTGAAAATACAGAGGCCACAAGTTTTAGGACTGTTTGGCTTGTAGGGGAGGCAGCCTCCCTTTCTGCCTCTCCTTCATAAACTGCCACGTAAATAGCCACATTTTGGCAAACGTTGCCATCTCCCTCAACATTCGGGGCTCTGTGCCTTCTTCAGGGAACTGGGAGTAAACCGCCAGGAGTGGAGAACTTGAACAACTGCTCAGGGATCGCAGGGTACCTGAAATAATTAGCAGCCGCCGCGTTTGTGCTGAGCGCTTTCCGTCAATCATCTCAACCACCCTGTGAAGTGAAGCCTATTGTTTTACCCATCAAGTGCTGTTAAATACTTCCAGAAATGACCAGTGAAGAGCCTGGGTATCACTAAACGGCCATAAAAGGCACACTGCTTAATGTTGGTTTTTTTTGTTTGTTCTTTGTGGGTTTTGTTCGTTTTTGAGGCGGAGTCTCGCTCTTATTGCCCAGGCAGTAGGGCAATGGCGCGATCTCGGCTCACCGCTACCTCAGCCTCCCGGGTTAATGTTGTTTTTTGAAAAGTCAGCAGTCAGACTCTAAGAAGGGTGCGGCCCGAGCCGACCCAAGAAAACAAAACATCACGTTGTACTTAAAACGTCCGTTTCGGCCGGGCGCGGTGGCTCACACCTGTAATCCCAACACTTTGGGAGGCGGAGGCGGGCGGATCACGAGGTCAGGAATTCAAGATCAGCCTGACCAACATGGGAAAACCCCGTTTCTACTAAAAATACAAAATTTAGCCAGGCATGGTGGCGCATGCCTGTAATCCCAGCTACTCAGGAGGCTGTGGCAGGAGAATCGCTTGAACCCGGTACACGGAGGTTGCGGTGAACCCAGATCGCGCCACTGCACTCCAGCCTGGGCAACAGCGAAACTCCATCTCAAAAAAAAAAAAAAGTCCGTTTCGCCCGACACCTGCTTTTCAAAATTACACATTTAGACCGCGAGGGGAGAGAGGAACTGCCGTGACCACGGAGGGCTGGCCTTTCCCCCGGCGCAGTTTCTCTGGACCGCTAGAGCTTCCCTTGAGACGAAAGCGATGGCAGGGGCCCGGGTGCGAGGCTGCCCCCGAGGGAATGGGGGGCGCGACGGGGGTAACGGGGCTGCTTCTGGGAGAGGGCGCGCTCCCCGTTTCTCCTTCCTCGTAGATAAAATGAAGCCAGCGTTCGGCTAGGACACCGGGCCGCGGTGACGGGTTGGAAGGGCCAGGCCTCGGGAGGCTCGCCCGGCAGGGGTCGAGTGGAAAGCGAGGACGGGGGTAGCCCCCACAGACCCTCCGCCCGGGCCCAGACTGCCGCCGCCACCTCGGCTCGGCTCACCCAAACCCCAGCAGGCCTTCGGGCCTTCTTACCTGGCGGCGCCCAAGATCCTCTTCCAGCCTCGAGCCGCTTCTGCGCTCAGCCCCCGCATTCTTTCGCTCCAGCCCGCAAGGCTCCGCCCCCCGGCCCCGCCCCTCAGGATGCCCTTGCCCTCCCAGGCTCCCGGCTCCCGCACCGCGCAGCCGCACCTCGGCAGGAACCTCCTCCTCTCCCTCCACCCCCGCGCGGAGCTCAGCCTCCTGGCCCAGGTTCTGAGAAGGCCGGGTGGCCAGGACCCAATGAGCACCTTCAAAACCCCAGGGAACTGAAAGTTTGGGGCGTCCTCCTCGGATTTGCTATGGGACATAAAAACAGTAGGAAACTTCCAAAGACTTCTGATTTTCCCTTTTACTTTTTTTTTAAGTATATTAAAATGTTTTTCAAAACGTTTCTGTGCGTCTTGCTGGTGCCCTGGGTGCCCCAGGGCCTGGCTATCGGGCTATGCGGCCCTGCTGCAGTCTGAAGCTGCTTCCTACTGCGAGGCTTGGGCAGCATCCAAATAGCCATCAGCCACAGCCGCATCCGTATCCGTGCCTTGTGACTTGTTTGAGACCCAAACAAAATGTTATGCGTTTAAAAGCTTACTGGGCTGCTCGGGGACCAGTGTTTTGAATGAACCTCTTCGAGTGTCTCTATCAACTTAGCTGGTAGCTACTGTTCCCCAGCAGCCACCAGAGGCAGGGACAGAAGAGCAAGACCAGGGGATCCGCCTGCATGAGTCTGTCCCTTCAGGGTGGCCTCGCCTCAGGGACTGGATTGTAGGCATGGTTTCAATAACACAGCGGTGTGAAAGTTTAAGAGTTTTTAGTACTTACGGACCCTGGGTGGTACACAGCTTGCCTAGAGGACACACACACACACACACACACACACACACACACACACACGGAGATCAGGGAGAACAGGGAGAGGGAAGGGAGGAACGGACCTTTGGGCCAGCAACTTTATCCAGTTAGGTTTCCTCTGGAGAGCTCTAACTGGTGGATTTAAAAGCAAGCAGGTGAAAAGGCAGAGGTGGGAGGAACTTGAACCAGAGTTTGAAGCTGCAGTAGTGCCCTGTTATCACATCACTGCATGTTTATCTCTGGCCACCAGCTAGAGCCATTTGCGTGGGGTATAGTACTGGAAACTGTCAATGGTGACTGAGACTTGCTTCTGTTATTAAAAGTTAAACATATTCAAAAATGGATGCTGAGGTAACAAAAAATTATAAGCACTCACCAGAACCGCAACCACCATTTGGAACATTAGTTTTATGTGCAGATGTAATTAGAAGTTTCCATTTGCTATTATATTTGGAAAGTGTCCCACTCACTGCAGAACTGACTGTAAGAACGCCATAGGAGGGAGGGTGGGGCTACAGGCCAAAAGTACAAGTCTTCCTCCAAGAGGATGGCCTCTGTTAGAAAGCATGAGACACACTTTGAGGGTCAGGGTGAGAAGATATTACATCTCAGGGCTGCTTGTGTTGAACTGGTCAGGGAAGAAGGCATGAGATAAAATTTAAGCAGGGGGAATCATAGATTACTGAATGTCTTGCAGGGAAAATCATATAGTAACTGTCTTGACGCTTCTACTGTTATTCTGATGGCTTTGGGATGTCAGGGAATGAGTTCCATTTGGTGGTGCTCAAATCCTGGTATTCCTCTATACAAGTGGGAGTTTTTTAAATCAGGATGACTTGCTTTGATATTTAAAGCATGTCTCCTTAAAACAGCTAATACTGTATATTTCCCAAGATGGATTCCAAAGCTCTTTTGTGTACATACCTTACACACATCCTGTTAGCTATTCCTTCCTTGACACGCTTGGCTTCTGAGATGCCACTCTCTCCTAGTTTGGTTCCCTAGAATGGTTTCTTGACCATTCGGTCTTGAGATTCTTTTCCTTTACCCACTAATAATTTGGTGTCCCAGGATTAGACTGAGAACCATGGCTGTGTGTGCTCCCTGGGAGACTATAGTGTATCTACTCTTTTACCTTGGGATGTATGTTTGCAGATGATTCAAAAGTCTGTCTCCATCCCTGACCACTCCCCCTATCTTCATATTCATATCCAGCTGACTGCTGGACATCTCCACTTATATGTTCCACAGACATCTTGAACTTAATGTGCACAAATCTGAATTCATCTTTAAAGAGTGACTGCTTTTCCTGAATTTTTTTCATAAATGAAGACAGAAACCTAGGAATCAACGTTGACCTCTTCCACTCCCTCACATCTACTCAGCCATTCCTGCCTATTTTACCATTTCAATATCTCAATTTCATTCCTTTTTCACATTGCTACTGTGCTAATTCAGATCTGTAGTTTGCGTTGCTTGAGCCATTACAATTCCTTAATACCAGGTCCCCATGTTGCCCATGTCAATTCCTGCATCCCCTGCCCCTTCTCTGCTTGCCCTCCACACGGCTGCTAGAGACCTGGCTAGTTTACCTCTCCAGCCTCATGCCTCACTTTTCATTTTCCACTTCATTTTACCTTGTTATCATCATCCTTTTGTGAATACAATATGCCTGCAGCAGCCAGTATGCAACCATGATCGTCTTTGAGAGGAAAAGTCTTGTGCTAAGGATGGCAGGTCAGAAAGATGGAGCCAATCTGGACTGTTGATAACACCACTGTGCCATCATGTCAGCCTTGAACTAGCTACCTCTGACTATTCGCAAGAATAACCACCCCCAAACTATTTAAGCTACTGTTAATTTAGGTATTTGTCTTATTCTAGTGATATATCAAGCCTCAGAGAAATTAGTAAAAAAAATCAGTTGTGTTTTCAAGGGTCCTCAGAGCCAGAAATGGCCTTTTCACCACCAAAAGTAGAGTCTGGTTTGGGCAACATTAATGCCAACTGTTAAATTCCTGTTACGTGTGAATAAGCATTCTTGCCAATAGCAGAAAATACAGAAGCTTGTTACCAACAAACTTCACGTTAGGCCGGGCGCGGTGGCTCACACCTGTAATCCCAACACTTTGGGAGCCAGAGGCAGGAGGATCACTTAAAGACAGGAGTTTGAGACCAGCCTGGTCAATATAGTGAAACCCTGGCTCTACTAAAAATGCAAAAAAGGGCATGGTAGTGCACACCTGTGATCCCAGCTACCCACGAGGCCGAGGCATAAGAATCACTTGAACCTGGGAGGCGGAGGTTGGAGTCAGCCGAGATCATGCCACTGCACTCCAGTCTGGGAGACACAGCGAGACTGTCTGAAAAAACAAACAAAAAACTACACCTCAGTATGAACTAGAGGTCACTCATTCAACATACTAAGAGAATGTGAATTCTGATGAGAGGATAAAGCAAATCAAAGCATTCTGAGGAGCAAAGGTTAGACAGGGTTGGAAGGGAGATTTGGGGCATCATAAGTACTCTGGAAATAGAGAGAGAGGTCATCAGAAAAGAGAAAGAAAAAATGGCAAGGGATTCCAGGGCCAGCCTTAATTGCCAAGATTTACTAGTTTTTGATTACTGCTTTATTGGAAAAGTTCGGTTTTGAAAAAATTAAGTGGTTTGACGCTATGGTCTGAATGTTTTTGTTCCCCCAAATTGTTGAAATCCAATCCCTAAAGCAATAGTATTAAGAGGTAGGGCCTTTAGGCTCTGCCCTCATGAAGGGGATTAGTGCCCTTATAAAAGAGGCCTGAGGAAGTTTGTTTGCTCTTTCCACCACATAAAACACAGCAAGAAGGTGCCATCTTTGAAGCAGAGAGTGGGTACTTACCAGACACCAAATTTGCTGATGCCTTGATCTTGGACTTCCCACCCTCCAGAACTGTGAGCAATAAATCTCTATTGTTTGTAAATGACTCAGTCTAAGGTATTTTGTTATAACAAACTAAATAAAGACAATTGACTTTTTTTCTAAAAAGGATAGCCGCCGGGGGCGGTGGCTCACGCCTGTAATCCCAGCACTTTGGGAGGCCAAGGTGGGCAGATCATGAGGTCAGGAGATCGAGACCATCCTGGCTAACATGGTGAAACCCTGTCTCTACTAAAAATACAAAAACTTAGCCGGCCGTGATGGTGGGCACCTGTAATCCCAGCTACTTGGGAGGCTGTGGCAGGAGAATGGCGTGAACCCGGGAGGTGGAGCTTGCAGTAAGTCGAGATCACACTACCGCACTCTAGCCTGGGCCACAGAGTGAGACTCCGTCTCAAAAAAAAAAAAAAAAAAGGATAGCCATAATAGGATTTGATAGCCTGATTATACTCTATTAAATGAAAAGTAAACATGAAAAATGACTTAGTCTATTTCAGAACACCTTGACATGTGTGAAAATGAAAGGATAAGTTTGTCTTCATGTTCCCTAATGGCAGCTGCTTAGCCTTGAATGCCACTTGTTTTCTTACAGTTTTCTCTATAAAATAACTGTTCTTGGGGGAAAATGGATGGTGGGGCACACAAGACAGTACAGTCAAAGCTAGGAGATGACTTTGAGTGGACCTGCTACTTTTGCAGCAGGTCAGCAAGAATCCATCCCATCTTCTACCTTAAAAGCAAATGCTGACTAATATTAGTTTATGGAAAATAAGCAATTATACAAAATACAGAATTGGAACCAAAATTTGCTTTTAAAATGTGAGTTTTTAACACTTGAAGGATTTCATTCTTAACTCTCAATTATATAATTACAAAAAAAATCCAAGTTTCAGGAAAACATACTTAATCCTAACATAAAATTCATGTCACTTATCACAAAGACAGTCAAGTGTATAAAGGAGAAACAAAACAGAAGCAGTATTTACAAATTTAAACTACATGAGATGTTGTGAACAATCTTTTGTTAATAAACAGCACGTTACATACTTTTACATACTACATTTCAAAAATGCATCTGTGAATAATATGATAAAGCGCATAGTGTTGAAGACTTTAAATTAAATCCAAGGTCATCATGTTGAAGACCTGAAATTAAATTCAAGGTTGTAGTGATGAAAAATTTAAAGTCAAGGTCTTAGCGATAAAGACTTTAAATTCAAAGACAGATTGTCTAAGGACAAACCACTAGCGTTCAAGTTGTTTAGTCAATTAGTTCTCTGTGAGTACAAAATATTAGGAATCACTAAATGGATTAGCCTAATTACAAATTTTGATCATTTCTAAATAACTCACAACTGCAAGAAGTCTTTTCACAGAATGAGTCACATAGTTTCTCTCTATCCTTGTGCAGGTATTTTAAATCCTTATTCAAAACAGTTCCCTCTCCATTTCTAGATTTTTGTAAGTATAAAATATTTTAAAACAAAGGTATGTCCATTCCTTAGCTAGAGAACTATTCTTCCACTGACTCCTGGAAGAGAAAAAAAAGATTCCCATTTCTTCCTCTACCTCAAAAACACAAAGCAAACCCAAACAATCCAATTCCTAATGTAGTGTCACATAGAACCCAGGGCCTGAAACAATATTTCATGCTAGTTTTCCTGCTATATGCAGAGAACAATTTAGTTATTTACATTATTGAGAAATCTATTTAACAGCCTAGAATCATCCTAGTGCTTCCATCAGCAGAAGGCTTGCTAAAAAAGGCGTGAGCAGCGGCGTCTGCGAATGGGAACATCAAAGACTCTCCTCCGTCTCTCCTCTTCATCATCTTCATCTGATTCATCCATATCTGCTGAATCATCATCCTCGTCTTCCTCCTCTTCCTCCTCCTCCTCTTCTTCCATCTCTTCATATTCATCAGGACCCATTTCCTTGAAAGAGAAAACAATCTTTTGATAAGAAGAGCATCTATCAGTTTTTTAGTTATTTCATGTAAATTCTCATTTATCTAGAATTCAAACAACCAGACACGCCAAATATGAATTTCCATAGACTTGAACAGTGGATTCTCACAACACACATGCTGATGCAAGATTCTGGAGTGGATTCTATATCTTGTGTTAAATAATGCTCAGTGTGATTTTTTTGTTGTTGTTTAATGGAAGATCTTCTTTTTAAAAAAATTATTATTTTTTCTTAGAGACGAGTTCTTGCTGTGTTGCCTAGGCTAGCCTCAAACTCCTGGGCTCAAGCAGTTCTCCCACCTCATCCTCCCGAGTAGCTGGGACTACAGGTGCATGCGACCCAGCCCAGCTCAGTATGGTTTTAATGGTAAATATTTCACTAAGCCAGTACTTATTTTTTACACAGTAGTTGGTAATTCACAGAAGGTAGCAAACAGACCACTTGTAACAATCCAAGATACAGTTTTACTGAGCTTATATTCATATACTGAATAATAATTATTAAGCTATATACTTACAGAAAAGAGGATATGAAAATATTAATCAAGTATGACCTCTACTGGTAACTTTTATGCACTGTCAACAAGAGATCTAAGATTTTTATTGAGCTCCTACCATAAAGACACATCATTTCAATTCAACCATCAGTAGCCTCTACTTTTTAAAAAAATATTTTTATTTTTTTAGTGGCTTGAAACAGCAACAGTCATTATTATCTCTCATGGTTCATGTGGGTTGGTGTTTGGGAAGTATTCAGTGGGGTGGTTCTGGGTTGGGGTGTCCCGTGATGTTGCAGTCCGATGGTAGCTGGAACTGCAGTCATCTCACGAGCTTCTTCATTCACATGTCTGGTACCCGCGCAGGATGATCCAAATATCTGGAGTCTGAAACAGCTGGGGCTCCTGGGTGCCTCCCTCTATCTCTGTGTGATGTCTCTACATGGTCTCTTCTGCATGACGGCTTCATGGTAGCTGGACTTCTTACATGGTGGCTCAGGGTGTCAAAGACACATGTCCCAGGAGAGAAAGACAGAACCCTAGGCTGAAGGAATATTACCTTTTTCTAACTCAGAAATCACAGTGTCACTTTGCCGATTCGTTATAAGTATATATCTAAGATCAACCCACACTGGAAGGAAATGACAGCCTCTATTTTAAAATTACCTTGTTGGAGGCTCTCAGATTAGGACAGTAGTGATGTTGAACATGCATCTGAATATCTCTTGGAAATGTCAATTCTGCCCATGCAATGTCTGTAATCAAGCCATGACTTACTCTGCTGTCAATGTTCTCTCTCACACATTTGAAGACGCAATGGGAGGGGCTGCTACATTGAACAGAATTCTGAACAGCAAGGACCTACTTGGTATTCTGGAAAGTATGGGGCAACTTGGGGCGTGATGTCAGCCAGAGTCCTTCCACCAAGGCTTTTATGGTGTTACGTGATCCACCACCCCATTAACACTCTGATCTAATCTCCAGCCCCTCTCCCTGTTGTTCACTGCACTCCAGCTACACTGGCCTCCTTGGGTCAAGCACACCAAGCACATTACTGTTTCGGAACCTCCACACGTGCTGCTCCTTTGCTTCGACCTCTCGTCTCCCACATATCCACCTAATTCCCTCTGCTCCTTTCACGTTTCAGCTTAAATGTCACCAAGGCCTCTCCTGACACATCTTTATATTAGAACAACCTAACAATACGTTCTTTATCCCCTTTACTCTGCTGTTTCTCCACAGCACTTATTACTACTTAATATAAGGACATAGTGTTTATTGTTACAGTTTGTCTCTTTGAATTGGAATGTAAATTCCAAGGCAGGGAATTTGATTATATTGTTAATCACAGTGCTCAATAAATAGTTGTTGTACAAGCAAATGAATTAATGTAGGAGAAAGGAATTGTGTCACTTAGGATTTATTATAACACTAACAACAATAACAGAGAAAATATACACTGATACGACTTATAAGACATTACATTCTTTTATCTTTGGATTTATTTTTTTAATCTAAGGAATGAAGACTTTGAAATTCAGTTAGGAGGTCCAAAAGGTGGGAAAGGGAAAGGCTTAGGAAGTTCTAAAACATGATATGTGAGTAGTATGATTATTAATTATCTTAATGAAGAAGAAAACAGAAAAACTGTTAAAGAACTCAATGTGGCTAAGGAGAAAGATTGCTCAGAAAAAAAGTGTACACACACAAACAGCAGATGCAGAGAGGAACACACAGAGAGGAGTGGAAATGTGCAGCTGGAGCCTCTAAAAGTGCCCCAAACAAGCCAAACACACACACCACCTAGACCAAGAAAAGACATAAGACCAACTAATGCATATCCCAAGAGGCATTCCAAGGAGAAAGAAAAAGGAAGTGTTAAGCCTACGAATTAATCAGACTGGTAGAGGACGAAAAAGCAGAACAATTCTCCATATCAGAAAACTAATATACAAACAGGAAAGGTCAACAAATACAACCCCCATGGCTTTTTTAATGTTGATAAGAAGTAAGTCCAGAATTCTCATTTTATTTCTCATCCTTGAGAGAAAACATTTTCCACAAGGCAGGTCAAGATTTTATATGTTTATTTGTGGTTAGAAGGAAACGAAAACTAATAAGAAAGAACATAGTTAAGAGAGAGCTGAACATGAAATGGGTTTATTATTGTCATTTGAAAAGGAACTAATAAGTAAATATTGTTTTACTTATTTCTCAGTTTTAATTTCTGATATGGTAAGCATTAATACAATCCACATAAGCAAGAATTCTTCGGAGTCCTCAATAAGTTTTTAGAGTTTCAGGGGGTCATGAGACTGAAAGTTGACAACCACCGTCCTTAAATAAAGACAACTTTACACCCACCCTAACAAACATTAAAAACAAACAAGATTCCAAAGGATCAAGTCGACCCAATAGTAACTCAACTGCCTGCCAAAACACACCTCAATGCTCTTTGAACTTTAGGACAAGGAATATTATCAGCGATAAAGATGGAGATTTCATAATGATGAAAGAATTATGTCATTAAAAATACATAATAATCCTTAGCATATTTGCATATAATTATACAGCTTCAAAATACATGAAGCAAACCTGACAGAACTAAAAAGAGAAACAAAAAACTATAATTATATTTGGAGATTTCAACAATCATCTCTCACTTGTTGATAGGACAAAGACCAAAAAAAAAAAAAATCAGCAAGTATACAGAAGACTTGAAAAAAACTGTCAACCGATTTGACCTATCATTTATAGAGTAATATTCCCCAAAATAGCAGAATGTACATTATTTTCAAATATACAAGGATCATTTACCAAGATAAACCATAATTTTGGGCCATAAAACATTTAGGATTGAAAATACAGAGCAAATTCTCTAACCACAATAAATTTAAAAAATCGATAGCCAAAAGATAACTGAAAACTCCCCCAAATGTTTGAAAATTAACACATTTCTAGAAAAGTCATAGATCAAAATTAAATTACAAGGGAAATCTGACACTATTTTGAACTACGCGTTCATGAAAACACATCAAAACTTGTGAAATGCAGCTAAAACAGTGCTTGGAGAGAGAAAAGTTCTAAAATTACTAATATAAACTTCTACCTTAAAAAAGCTAGAAGAAAAGCAAACTCAAAGTAGAAGGAAAGAAATAAAGATAACTGCAGAAATCAATGCGATAGAAAATAAGCAAATAGAGAAAATTAGTAAAACCAAAAGTTGCTCCTTTAAATGATCAATAAAAATTACAAACCCCTAACTAAAGCAATGAACAAAAGAGAAGATATAAATTAACAATATTAAGAACAAAAGAGGACAAGTGACTATGGCTTTTGTAGCCATTAAAAGGATATCAAGGGAATACTGTCAATAACTTTATACCAATAAATTCAACATTTAGATGGAATGGACAAATTCCTTGAAAGGCACAAATTACCAAAACTGAAACAAGAAGAAATAGAAAATATGAATATTAAAGAAATTAAATTCAAATTTCAAAATTTTCCCACAAACAGAACTCTAGCCCCAGATAACTTCAGTGATGAATCATATCAAACATTTAGGGAAAAGATTATTCCAAACTCATACAGATACTGGGCCAGTCAAAAAAGGAATTCTGTTATGCAAAGCAGCAAATTCCCAGTACTGGAAATACAGTTTCTGGCATTCCTCCACTGGGAAGAAATCTAAATCTTCACTTCCAAACGCACACTGTAGATTCTTTTCACTAGATATGCCACACAGGTAATGGCCCAAAGTCTCATTATCATCCTTCTCTTTTCAAACTGGAGTTGAAAATGTGTCAGCTCTGGATCAGATTAATATCATGTCCATCTTTCCAAACTTAAACCCATCCATCAGGGTCATTCCAGAAGCTAGAGGGCATTTTCCAAAGATTCAACACCTACAACTCAATTGCATTCTGGGTATATAATTCATATTTTATCCCCATTGTATAACTGGAGCTTCATAACTTTCTTTAATCATGTTATAGTCTCTAAGGTTGGAGTTACTGTTACACTTGTCATAAGGTAACCCTAAAAACGAGATTTTAAAAAATATACCTAGTTGACTTAAGAAATGATCCCAGAGAGACTGCCAAAAGTACAC
Organism: Homo sapiens; assembly: GCF_000001405.40. Taxonomy (NCBI): domain Eukaryota; kingdom Metazoa; phylum Chordata; class Mammalia; order Primates; family Hominidae; genus Homo; species Homo sapiens. Next base: position 33,746,729 of record NC_000011.10, read on the forward strand.
ATCCACACATTAAATTTTCTTTATAATGATCTTTATGGAATATTTGTTTATTTGACATTAAATTGGAAGTTTGAGCAAAAACACTGTAAGAAGTTGTTTTCCCAGTCTTAAAGCTGATTCTACTGGTCTAATGTGGTATTTCTCATAATCTACATTTAGGCCACTGAACAGTGAAAAACAAGTTGAATCTTTAAAACAGCAGAAATTCTCTGGTTAGAGACTATGGAGCCTCATTTACTTGTCCATTTCTCTCAACAAATTCACATGACCCCCAAGATACTTTCTCAAAATCTCTAGGGTTCTCTGGAACACTATTTATAAACTAACTATTTGCCTGGCTTATCTGCAGTGTTAACCCTACAAAGTCATGTAAATCAGCACTAGAGGAAAATTTAACTTACCAATCGGGCTATAGACACCCTGAATGTTGGACATGCCATATGGAATCGGGGAATGGCAACATTAAAGATCTTGTCTTTAAAGTAAAGAAAATGGAAGGTATAATATCCTTCCATGTATCCTGATGTTGTAGAGAATGTGGTACAGCTTGTGTATTCATATACCCGACCTGGGCTGATGATTGGAAATTCACCTGCAGGGAAAACAGTAACAATAAACCAAAGTATAAAATTCATTTCTTTATTACAATAAATAAGGTATGGTCTCCATGGCATTATGTAAACTATATAATAGTAAATGCACAGTTAGAAAAAAAAATTCCAAAAGAAAATGTAACAAAATGTTAACAGTGATAGGACAATGAGTAGGTATTTTATTCCTCTTGACTTTTTTTTTTTTTTTGAGACAGAGTCTTGCTCTGTTGCCCACGCTGGAGTGCAGTGGCGTGATCTCAGCTCACTGCAAACTCCACCTCCTGGGCTCAAGCTATTCTCCCACCTCAGCCTCCTGAGTAACTGGGATTACAAGCACCTGCCATGATGCCCAGCTCATTTTTGTATTTTTAGTAGAGGCAGGGTTTTGCCACATTGGCCAGGCTGGTCTCAAACTCCTGACCTCAGGTGATCCGCCCACCTTGGCCTCCCAAAGTTCTGGGATATCAGGCGTGAGCCACTGCGCTTAGCCCTCTCAACATTTTTTTAATGTATTCCTCAAATTCCCTACAATGTAGAAAGTGGGAAGTATCTAGTAAAAAAAAAAAAAAAAACAGAACAGGCATGTTTCTTTTTCAAAAAGCTTTGAGGCATTGAAGACACAACCTTTAAGACATGAGTAATAAAAAGCATCACAGACACCAGTTCAAACAAAGATAAGGTAATCTAAATATTTTTAAAGTAGCAAGAAACAAAAACATAAAATTGTGAAGATGCATCCTAAGCATTCAGACCAGACAAAATGGCACTCACAAGGGAGAGTCCTTATACCACTGGACCAAATGGCAGAAAAAGAACTGTGGCTTTAATAAAGCCTCTCTCTTAGCGCTAGATCCAGAAAAAATTCCTGGACTGAAGCCCAGGAAAAAAATTTGTTAAGTAAACATGTAGATCTATCCATGGCAATGAATTTAGAAAACGTTAAACTGAATTCTGTATATGCTTAGAACTGATAACAGAAGTACATAGCATAAATATGTTATTTTCCTGGAGCATATATTCAAACCTGAAGCATCTGAGGGCTCAGAGACTTCAGATAATCATAATCTTTAAGAAAGCCAAATGACAATGGTAACCAGAATTAAAGTGACTGAAATCTACAAACAATAAAAATTCATGCCATTAATTTTAACATTTCCCCCCAAGCTTCAAAAAACATGACGAATACAAAATTTATTTCCCCCTTTCTGCCCTATGTGTTCTAACCCACAACATACAATGAATAATGAACCAGTTAAAAAAAATAAAATAAAATCCACAAAAAGGGAAATCAATCCCTGAATAATTAAGTTTGCTATTATTTCAGAAAAGTTAATGCTTAAGGGATTAAATTAATAGGATAACGACCTTTATACATTTATATGTTATATTTAGGATGCAAAGTCTAACATTTCTTCTAAGGAATTAATGTATAAACCTAAATCTTGGGTTCCATACCAACTACTCCAGGTCCTTGAACTTCTTCCACGTCACCCTTAGCATTTGTTATTCTCCAATAGCGACTGTCCAACTGACAGGCCTTCTCAGGAAGTGCATCTTTTGACATTTCAATCCTAGAGAAGGGAATGGGGTGGTAGAGACAAAAATCTGGCTTCTTTGTTTCTTTGGTTTAAGAGATACAGTATTCAGGCTAATACTATGAAGAAAAATTTCCAAAAAATTAAGAAACCCAACCCAAAGTCCATGTTAGCCATCTATTTTTCTAAGTTCTCAAAGATACTGGCTTCATTAACTTGATCCCCCTACAAAAATGCTTTCACTCAACTTATGCATTTGACTGTCAGTGTGGATCAACAACAGAAAGGGCAACATAAAATGTGCAACATAATGGTGACAACAATCTTTCGCTGTTCAAATAAAGATCAATTTGGCAAATGCTTTCTAGAAAATAGTGCCATGAAAAACTTCCGGAGAACTGAAAGTCTCTCTTTAACTGCATGAGACTATACAACCCATTTCCCTTTTTTCCATTAGTTTCTAGACAGTTTAAGACAAGATGTCACCAGTTACTGGGATTACACTTTTTTTTTTTTTTTTTGAGACAGGGTCTCACTCTGCCACCCAGGCTGGAGTGCACTGGTGTAATCTTGGGCTCACTGCAGCCTTGACCTCCTAGGCTGAAGCCATTCTTCCGCCTCAGCTCCTCTAGTAGCTGGGGACTACAGGCATGTGCCACCACACCTGGCTAATTTTTTTAAAAATTTTTGTAGGACAAGGTCTCACTATGTTGTCCAGGCTGGTCTTGAACTCCCAAACTCAAGCAATCCTCTCACCTTAGCCTCCCAAAGTGCTGCGATTATAGGCGTGGGCCACCGTGTCCAGCCTGGGATTACACTTTGACTCTGTTTCCCAATGCTATCACTTTCCCCTTTCCCTAGGAATCTGGTGTCTCTTATTTTCACTTTGAGTACCCTATAAGTATGTGTTGGTATTTTTATTTTGAGCACATCTCAATCCTAGGCAGGATCTAAATCAAACAAGTAAACGACAAATATCTATACATGTGTATTTGGATATAGCAAAGGTTGCATACAGTATCTAAATCCTAGGATGCTTCCTGGTAGTTATATTTTACTCAAATACTTCCAGTATGCATATATGCATGTATGTGTATTTTAAAATATACTTATATATTACATAAAATATATAAAAATATATTTTAAAGCACAGTATCCTTAATCCCTTAGGGCAATGAGTTATCTTTGTGTCATAGCACAGAATACTTCTAACTAACGTAAATTTAAAATATTTGCTTCTTATTTAATAAAATTCAATGTCTAACACTATGTCTGACATCCATGAAGCACTCAATACACATTTATTAGATTTTTTAATTGAATATAAATAGGCCAGATGAAATTTAAAATGCATGACTTTATTATGGCAATTTGAGAGCTTCTAGAATGCATTACAACTTGAAGCTTTAATGACGACTACAACTTAGTGGTCCATTTCCACAGTACCTGGCACAATACTTGATACCCAGTATATTTTCAAGAAATAACTTAACTTAGAGGTTAATATGAAGTCAAAGTCCTCCATGAACACTATCTTGTAGAAAATGTATCCACCTTCCTCCAAACTTCAGCAAGTTCTTTCAAAATGTGTCTTACATATCATGTCAAATGGGACAATAGCAACATGTCCATTGGATATATCCCACCATTAACTGAAAGGTGACCCCATTTAAAATTCTCACCTGATTCGGTATGTGAAGAAATAGTGGGGTGGATGTACAGAGCTAAGTTCTGGCAGAAACGATGTGGAAACTGACACAGTAATATCCCCAGTTGTTGCTACACATTCTGGATCGTGAACATATCTAGGTAATTTAAAAATTAAACATTTTAAAATCAACTACAGGATTTAAAAGATACGATGCAAAATAGGTTATACTTTAGGACAAAAAATTTAAATCATATTTCAGACCCAGAAAAGTTCAATAATATTTGGGTATAGTCCTATTAAACTTTGAAGGAAACTAGAAACAAACTACAAAACCTTGGTGACTCTGGATCAGTAATGACAGCAATCAAGGTTCAATGATCAGTGGTTCAAATAACGGATTGGTAATTAGCTTGGAAACAAAAATGAGCTTATTCAGTTTCCAGGGCTAAGGAAACTTTTGGGACATCTGAAAACCCAGCTGCATGATGTCCAATGCTAAATGATGGCTCTGACAATAAAAATGTGCAAGTATGCTGTTCTCAGAAGCCTCTAATGTATAATCAATCTATCATTTCTGCCAACCAGGCTATTATGAACCAGTATTACCTCCAGTACTCCCTACAATACCTGAATGTTCCATTTAGAGATAATAAATATTTGCCAGGAATTAACAGTTACCGACTTGCTATTCATAATAAATCTATCAGTTGCCAAATAACTTTTTGGTGTTTTTCAAAAATAAATTATATAGATACTATTAACCCATAGTTTCTAAATCAAAATCAGCTTTTTCTTGATTCTTCTGGATAGGAAAAATACCAGTTGTCTAAGCATTTAGATGTTTGGCTTTAAAGTGAGAATAAAATAGTGAGACTGAAGACAATCTTCTATTATCAACCTCAATAGAGAGGTTCTATTATCAACCTTCTTGGGAAACTTCATTTCATGATCTGTGACTTATCATTTTTCTCTGATTTACAATCATTTCAATCCAAAAAGACCCAAAATAAAATACCTGAAAATTTGGTCTCTGATGATGGGGAAGCCACCTGATACAACATTTTTGACATAAGAGGTAAACCAGTCAGTAAAAGTAGCACCTATAAAGCAGGAAAGGGAGAAAAAAAGAAAAGAACAAATAGTTTTGTAAAATCTATACAGGAAACAATTGTAATTCCTCTATGCTTTAGAATGTGATACCAAAACTAGAAACATTTATAGATATAATTGTACTAATTATTTATAAGATCAATTTCTATTCTCAATTCTATCCACCTTATTTCCTTGGGATTCTCCCCCTCTTCATCCCCCCAACTATTGTTAGAGAATCCTCCAATGACCTTCAGACTATTTTTTTACACTTATAATTAATCAAATTTTAAACTTTAATTCATTGTGGTACAAGAATGAAAAGCCTTCTGTCTGTAATTTATTGAACATATAGAACAAAGAAAATACAGCTATGACTAGGAAGAAACTACAAGAAAAATATCAGCACCTATTCTCAGACGTCCCTGGTCCAGGTACATCCTGACTCAAGCACAAAATTTTGGCAGAAGCCAGGCTCAGTCTGGACATCTACCAGGGACATGACATTGTGGAGTTCTGTGCATCGGGCCAATCCCAAAGTGGTCTAGTTGCACACTACTATAGATTTAATTGCACAGCGGTCCTCCATCTTCTTAGTGACCAGCTCAAAGCAGAAAAGGATTACTGGAACAGTCTAGTCCAGACCATATATCTGTGATCTAATGATTGGATTATAACAAGTATTTACATGAATTAATAATGTTTACCCCTTCTAGGTAATATTTAACATAACTCTGTCAGACCCCCCATTATTTACTGTTAATACATCTCAGTGCCTGGAATGTATTAGTCCTTTAATTAATGTTGTTCAACAATGAATTTCTTTGTAATCTGGTTTCAATTAACCCAGTTTCTACACTCTGTCACACTGAATGTCAGATGCTAAATTTATAGTGTTTACTAATTATTCTATTTAGGGAATGATAAAAGATACAATTTGGCTTATATCTAAGGGTACAAGGCTTTAAACTTTTAAAAGGCATCAACTGAGAGAAGGCAAACTATAATAGTTGGCTCTTTCCTCAATATCTATTAATGACCCATTCTGACCCAATATTTATTAAACACTATTGTATTCAAGGTTCACTGATCATGTACCTACTTTGAGTAAGATATTAAGAAGTTATATAAATAATGTCATTAAAATTCATAGAAGGTATAATTTTACGTTTTTAGCACTAGTACTTTCTCTGAAAGAGTTTTTAAAAATCATATATATGTATATTTTGTGGAAAAAAGTTATATAACTAAAAACAAATTTGTGGTTTGCATAAAAAAAATTGGCATGGTGTATTTTAATCTACCTTATTTTATTACAATACGTACCAGAGTGTATTCTTTAAGATGAGGACAGACTAGGCAGCATTCACTACTAAACTTATCTGACAGATTCCAGGTTTCTTAAATATCTATTATTAGTACACTGAACACCAGGATATGCCATTTTGTGTGTTACCAGTCTAAGCAAACTTAGTTGAATCAAGATGCAATTTATATGTTCTAAGGTAATTTACCTTTTAAAGTAAGCCCATGTGTTGGGGTCTCTCTGATGGTTCTGGAGCTTTATCAAGGCAGCTGAAAGGAAGCTCCTTTTTCATCCTTCCTCCCTGCATTAACTTCTCACCTCATCTCTTCTCAGTGTCTCTCAATCTTTTGCTTTGCTCTCCCATTTTAAGAGAAATCCCAGCTACTGGCATAGTATTATTACACCTTAGTACTCTGCTGGAGTGGTGAGGTTCTACATACCATGTCAGACGAGCACCAAACTAAGAGTAAGGAACTCACAGAGGCTGGGCAGCAGCTTACCTTAGCACTCAGCTGCCTTCCATTTATAAACTGAGTAGCACTGCTGGACCACAGCCACTATGGTAATCTCTGAAAGTGTGTGCTATGCAAAAATAACAACGAGGGCAATGAGCACAGGAAAAACCTCCAGAGAGTGCTTAACTTAGAAACCAGAGACCACATGAGTCAGAGTGAGCTGAAACCTAGGACCTACATTTAAAAGCTTTTTATAACTTACTAGGTAAGAGTGAGATCTTGATATTATGAAGTACACCATGAACGTGGAATGTGCCATAGTATGGAACAAATAGAGACTTATACATTGTTCAAAGTTCCAATGAGAAGACAGAAGTGAATACAAATGCCTCAGTCTACAAGGACTCTTTACTATTCATATATGTAGATGTTTAATATATGTCAGTCAGTACCCTTAAAAAGCAAAATGGACAGTCTGGAGGAATCTTCTCTGGATGATCAAAATCCAAACAAGCCAAGACGGGATAAATAGCAAAGGGGTGAGCTGTAGTTACTTACAAATTGAAGGGTTCTCAAAACCTATAAGAAATACTCTTTTAAGGCCAAGAAAAACTAGTTGTACCAAGGAGTTTATAAGGCATAGAGTTTATATTAGTCCCTAAAGACTTGCTTTGGAGGTCTCTAATGTGACTTAGTATCTTAATGCTACTGCATTAGCACCAAAAGAGAAAAAGTTTAAAGTTGCTTTATATATCTGTATCCCCAATTATACATGAATATAATGAATAATACATGTGCATGTTAAGAAAAATATATACACATTCACAGCACTTCTACATATTTCATTGCCTTATAGAAGAGTCCTCAGAGCATGAGATTGTATATGGACTAGCTTTTTTCAAAATTAAAAATATTCAATACAAAAACGGTTCTAATGAAAACCTAGATGCAGTACTTTATAAACCAGCAAACCTTAAAGAAATCCAAGTATGAAATTGCCAGCTGCTAAAGTAGCTGAAAAAGTTTTTACCATTTTAATTTTTTTATTATATCCAGGAAGAAGAAGAAGGGGGAAAAAAGACTTTTTTCTTTCCTACCTATAATAAACATGTCAATAGCAGCTGGATTTCGAGCCATTTGGTCCTAGGTGAGAAAAAGAATACAATCGATAAAAACACATTTTACTTAATTTTTCATTGTTCATTATCTGTATCTTTCCCTGGAGACGAGGCAAAACAGATAAAAATAAAGTTGAGATAAGAAGATATATGGCTTGTTATCCTAGAAGAAAGGGTTCTGAATCAGAGTCAAGAGATCCGAACAGTTCTAGGTTACTCATTTCTTTCAGTAAATGGAGAGACCAAGCTACCATCCTACAACCTTACAGAGACATCAAGTAAAAAAATGAGATAAAAAGTATGAAAATGCTTTAAAAAGTTAAAGCTATAAAAGCTCTTTAAATATGTAAAATGTTATATAGAGTCACATGTCTCAACTATGAAAAGCATTTTCTTTTTTTTTTTTTTGAGAGGGAGCCTTGCTCTGTTGCCCAGGCTGGAGTGCAGTGGCTCGATCTCAGCTCACTATGACCTCCGCCTCCCGGATTCAAGCAATTCTCCTGCCTCAGCCTCCCCAAGTAGCTGGGACTAAGGCATGCGCCACCACACCTGGCTAGTTTTTGTGTGTTTTTTTTCAGTAGAGGTGGGGTTTCGCCATGATGGCCAGGCTGGTCTCAAACTCCTGATCTCAGTTGATCCACCCGCCTCAGCCTCCCAAAGTACTGAGATCACAGGCATGAGCCACCACACCCAGCCAAAATTTAGAATTTTCTATTTTAAATTCCTTTTTTAAGTAAAAAGTTCATATCTAGGCAAAAATGAAGGCAGAGGTTGTGTAACTGAGAAATTACTGATAACTGAAAATTATTTTTTCATTTTTATTAAATGAAACCAATACCATATTTTCTGTGGTTACATTAAAACAATAAAAGTCTCCTAAAAAAGAACTACATTTTTCGATACATCAAATACCCACTGAACAAAGTTTTAAAAGTTTCTATTGCACTCAAAGCATGAATCAAAGGATGTTCAAAGGCTAAATTTTTGGAAAGTCTGAAACACATATTACAATTAATTACTTCAACAAAAAGCTCCTCATTAATTTTCCTTAAAATACCTTAAGACAAATTGCAGCTTTTCCTCTGTATATACACCAGTTTTTTATGTCCAACTGTCAAGTTTTCTCTTGGGTTCCATGCCATTATGTCAGAATATTAACTCTAGTTAGAGAGGTCTATAACTAAAATGCATAATATTCTATACCCATTCTACAATCCTGAAAATACCTAATGCATGCATTTATACAACCATCAGAACACATCTTAATGCCATATTTAAACACACGTTCTACTTACTGGACATTGGTAGAAAACTTCATTTTTGTTTCGGCCCTCTGCAGCTTCCACTGCTATGTACTGACTCAAACCAGTATGTATGCAAAAAGTTAAAGGGAGACAGTATTTCAGTCCCTGTCTCTGCTGGAATCCTCCGGCAGCTGTATCGACGTCTAACAAATCTTCAGAACGATAGTGATTAGACAGTGCCATGCTTCCCAATAACCTGAGGAGCATACAGACTCAAACATGTAATACACGGCAGTGCCAAAGAGCTGTGCTTCATCTTTCTGATGAATAATAATTTCCCACTCACAACTTTATAAGTACTAATTAACATGACAATTCTAAATCAGGAATACCCAAAGCACTATAATTTCTAAATATTTAATTCAAACTCTTTTGATTGGAAAAAAGATTCTGATTTAAATTGAAAATTAATTAAATGTCTAAATGGCAATGTTTTAAAAAGAAATACAGTTTTACTGTTTTCAACAATCTATCCTGCCATGATATATTGATTTGCTGGTGTTTTGCTAGCCATGTATGTGTGGCCAATTTAATGTTTAAAGAAGTAAATTCTCTGATGCTGTTATCTTGATACAACCTTTAGCTTACCCTATGCAACCAGACAGTATAAATGTAAAGCAGCTTAAACCTTGTCCAAAGTTTCAAAAACTTGGATGCCTGGGGTATAGATTAATCTCATTAAATATATATATAGCAATACAGGTATCAAGGTATTCCTTGATGAGATTCCTAAGTCTCAATGCTTGAGCCATGTATAGATAAAAATCCCTGTGTTGCAATTTATGACCTATTGGTCATGTCAGTTCTGGGCAACTCTTCTAACAAAGTTCTCTCCTGTTTGCTCTTAAAATCTGACAGTTTTTCAACTTTGTCAAGTTTCAGTTCAATAGGAAAAAATAGCCAATAATTTAGGGTCATCTAGTCCTAACTGACTTCTATGTCTGACCCATGCCTAGTATTTGATTTCTTTCTTTTTTTTTGAGACAGGATCTTGTTCTGTCACCCAGGCTGGAGTGCAGTGCTTACTGCAGCCTCAGACTCCTGGGCTCAAGAGATCCACAGCTCCTGAGTAGCTGGAGCTATAAGTGCATGCTACCAAGTCTGGCAAATTGTTTTTAACTTAATTTTTTATAGAGACAGGCAGGATCTTGCTATGCTACCCAGGTTGGTCTTGAACTCCTGACTTCAGGAGTCCTCCTGCGTTGGCATCCCAAAGAGCTAGTTTCAGGTGTGAGCGACCACACCCTGCCCCCAAGATTTGACTTCTGAATACCTTATAATCTCAATGTGATCACCTTTGGGATTCCCTGTACTCATTCAACCCTCATCTGAAATTGTAACAGAGCCTCACATGATTCTTCACATACAAAGGAACACCAGGTTCCAATAAGAACAGTGCAAAGTTCTCCTTAAATTCTTATTAGCATTTCACAAGCACAATGTCTCTGAAATAGCTTACTTTCATAAAAGTACAAAAGGAGTAGACCCATTCAAAGCATATATGCCTTCTAAAACTGTGGGTGAGTTTTGATGACTACTGCATGGTCTACTTTTACCCAAAAGTTCCACAATGTAAAGTGGATATAGTGGCTGGAAGGCTGAGGCAGGAGGATCCCTTGAGCCTAGGAGTTCAAGACCAGCCTGGGCAATATAGTAAGACCCCATCTCTAATAATAATAATAATAATAATAAAAAAATAAAAATTTAAAATAATAAAAGTTTATAAAACAAATCTTAAAAAAAAAAAAAAAAAGCTGAGCCAGGCACAGTGGTATATGCTTGTAGCCCCAGCTACTTGGGAGGCAGACGCAGGAGGACTGCTTGAGCCCAGGAGTTAAATACCACTAGCCTGGCAACACACCAAGACACCATCTCTTAAAAAAAAAAAAAAAAAAAAAAAAAGTCTGGGTGGTTTGCATCTGTAATCCCAGCACTTTTGGAGGCTGAGGCAGGAATTTTTTGAGCCCAGGAATTCAAGACCAGCCTGGGCAACATGACAAGACCCCATCTCTACAAAAAATACAAAAAAGTAGCTGGGCATGGTGGTGCGCCTGTACTTCTAGCTACTGGGACAGCTGAGGTGGCAGGATTGCTTGAGCCAGGGGAGTCAAGGCTGCAGTGAGCTGAGATCATGCTACTATACTCCAGGCTTGGGGACCGAGCAAGACCCTGTCTCAAAAAAAAAAAAAAAAGTTCCACAATAAATACTTCATTCTTTAGAATTAAATTTTAAACAGGCCATTCAATTATAGACTGTGTTTAATATGACAAAACAATTTTATTTAGTGTAGTGTATGCAGCTCTGGACAAATGATTGCTCTTTACATGTATAGTAGGTAGAATTTGCGTCAAGCTCCCAAAATAATTTGCCTGGCCTGTAATAAGATACACATTTCAAGAGTTCTGAAGAATTTGGTTAAAATATATCGCACATACCTTTACTGTATGTCCCATCCCCCATCCCATACCAGACTTCATTTTAACTATACAAATATATTGATAAAAATTGTGTTTTTATGAGATATATTTATTTTGGTAAAATCTAATTCAAGCTATAGATTTTGTCTTATGGATTGCTATAAAGGAGAAAGAGGGAATTCCCATGCTTCTTTAATTTGTTAAGGGTAACTACAAATACAATTTATTTACTTTCATTCTAAAAAATAACTTGCATCATTAAAAATAACCAAAACATTGAATATCTTACCCAGGAACCACTAACTTCTGTCCATTGTGAATTCGGTATGAACATCGATAATCGTCAGGAAGCTTGCAGCCAATCTGCGCTTCCACAGCATCGAGGTCTTCCTCTCGAGCACCCTCTATAAAGGCACAAAAAAGAGTGAATTGTGAAGAAACAGCCTTAAATCTAAGAAGAAATGCAATCTATCTGCTAACTAATGAAACAATCTTGGAATGAGTGAATTCTGTCCAAAATATATGGCTGAAATAGAAGGAAATGAATTGAAAACTAATTTGAAGCACTGAGAAAGCAAATTTCTTAGTTTCCTCCCAACAGGGAAAACACTGGCACTTAGTAAAACATGGAAAGTGGGCACCAATGAGATCCACAATAATGTTTTCACATTATAACACAAACCTCTAAATTTCCTAAATCTAAAATATTCATACTGCTTTATTTAAAATAAAAAAAAAAACAGCAAAACCCCTGGAAGTTCTCTAAACTGATGTTATTTAAGAGTTTTAACATTGACTCTTAATGGGAAATATAGGACATAAGGTATGGTTCATGTGTGAGGAGGCCATTAACTTGAACTCTATTTTGCATATTTGTAAACTTGCCACATATTCTAGCTTTGAGAAGTGGGAAATAATGACAAATACCAAGAGATGAGATCGACATTCAGCAGCAGCCCACCAGGTTGTTGGACTAAACCTCTTGCTGAATAGTGAAAACAAAAAATTGGCTTGAAGACTTTCGAAGAGTCACAACGGTAGGGGAGAGGGGTCCAGGAGAAGAGAGAGACTGAGAGGTGGGCCAGGCATCGGAAGCCACCTTGTCTTTAGACAAGAATTGCTGTCAATTCTGAAAGCAAATATGAGGTTGAGTGGCCAAGAAGCTGAGCAAAGCTTTAGGCAGTACCACAGGGCTAGAGGGCAAAACAAACAGAGTTCAGGGTCCACAAAGGAGAGAGGGACCTGGTAAAACCCAAGGTTTTTGGGCTAGGATTCTGACTGACATCCTAGGAAAAAGGATGAACTGAAAATAAGACTAGTCCTCACAAAGACTAAAGCCCAGCTTTCAATCATGTCAATCCCTGATTGCATTACAGTGATCTGCCCATTGACTAGCTGCTAGCCAAAAGCAAAAGTAATCTCTAGAAGAAAATAACATTACCCCAAAATTCAAATTATGTCTAGCAATAAATTAAAAACAACTAGGCCTATACCAAGACAAGATCTGACTAAAGAAAGAGGAAAAAATAGAAAATAGAACCAAATCCATAATACATCGTTATTGGAGTTAGTAAACATGGACTTAAAAATAACCACAACTGATACATTCAATGAATTAAATGAAGATGGAGCATTTCAGCAGAGAACTAGAAACTATAAAAATGAATCAAATGGAAATCTTAGAGCTGAAAAATGCAAAAACTAAAATAAGAATACACTGAAAGGGTTTAACAGCAAATCATAGTTTTAAAGCTAAAGAGGGAATTATAAACTGGAAGCCAGGTCAGAAGACAAAAAGGGACGGAAAAACACAAAAAGAGCCTAAGACACATATGGGAGGACATGGCAGAAAGGTCTATGATACGTGCACTAGAATCCCAGAGGGAGAGGAAAAGCAGAATGAAGTAGAAGCAGTATTTGGAGATAACAGCAGAGAATTTTCCAAAATTGATGAAAATGTCAAACGATGATTCAGAAGCACCATAAACCCTATGGAGAAAAATTACAAAGAAAAGTTATCTAGATACATCTTGGAAAACTGCTACAATCAAAGACAAAGATAAATTTTAAAAGCAGTGTAGTGGGTGCAGTGAGGGTATAATTACCTTCAAAAGAGAAACAATAAGACTGACAGCTAAATTCTCTGCAGAAACAATAGAAGTTAGCTGGACTCAGTGGCTCATGCATGTAATCCCAGCACTTTGGGAGGCTGAGGTGGGAGGGTGGCTTGAGGCCAGGAGTTCGAGACCAGCCTGGGCAACATAGCAAGACCCCATCTATAAAAAAAAAAACCTTAAAAATTAGCCAGGGATGGTGTCGCACCTGTAGTCCCAGCTACTCGGGAGACTGAGCTGGAAGGATTGTTTGAGCCCAGGAGTTGGAGGCTGCAATGGGCTATGATTGTGCCACTGCACTCCAGCCTGGGCAACAAAGCAAGACCCTGTCTTTAAAAAGAAAAGAAACAATAGAAGTCAGAAGAATGATATCTTCAAACTGATGAAGAAAAATCACTGCTGACCAAAACCCTATAACCAGTGAATATATCTTCAACAATGAAGATGAAATAAATACATTTTTAGATAAATGAAAGAAAAATTCAGCAGCAGCAGTTAGAAGAAATACCAAAAGGAATTCTTCATGTGGAAGGAAAGTGATCCCAGATGGAAGCATGAAGACACAGGAAGGAATAAAGGGCAACCAGAAAAGATAAATATGAAGGTAAGTCTAAAAGAATATTGAATATGTAAAATAAGAATGTTTTCAGGGAAATTAAATATGTTAAAAAACAAAATCACAAAAACAATAAATCAAAAGGCAGGTAGGAGGTGATTGGAGTTAAAGCATTCTAAAGTTCTTTCATTGTCCAGGAAGTGGAAAAAATACTAATTTACATTAGACTTTAAAAAGTCAAAGATGCAATGTTTTAATCTCTAATATAATCACTAAAAAAAGAAAGGAGAAGAGAATGGAATAAAACATAATTAAGAAGATTACAGAAATGGAACAGTGAACAGGTGGGACAAATAGAAAAACAGAAACATGGTATAGCTCAACTCAAACACATTAGTAAATCTATTAAATATGAATAGACTAAATAATCTAATGAAAAGACAAACAGATCAGATAAAAAACAAAAAATTATATACAAGACACATCTTAAAGTAAATACAGAAAACAAAGCTAGAGTAGCTCTACTAAAATCACATGAAATGAGACTTTAAGGCAAACAACTTTATTAGAGCTAATGGAGGACTTTTCGTAATAACAAAAAGGTTAAATTCACTACACAGGTGTTACAATTCTAATTTTATGTACCTAATAAGAGCTTTAAAAAATATTTTTAAATGACAAATAAAATGGGGAAAAGATATCTACGATCACAGTGGCTGTAGTTTTCTCCTGCTGTAATATTAGCAGCTTAAAGCACTTATTATTTCACAGTTTCTGTAGGTCAGGAGTCTAGATATGACTCAACTGGATCCTCTGCTCAGGCCCCAAAAGGCTGAAAGTATGGCATCAACTGGGGCTGCTATCTCATCTTATGCATCGTATGCTTAGGATCCTCTTCCAAGCTCACTGGTTGTTGGCAGAATTCAATTCCTTAGGACTGAGGCCCTCAGCTCCTGGAGGCCACCCACCATTCTCTACCATGTGGCCCTCTCCATAATATGCCAGCTTGCTTATTCAAAGTCAACAGGAGAGGCACATTGAATCTGACTTCTGGAAGGGCCCCCAGTCCCTTTTAAAGGCTCATCTGATTAAGTGGGGCCCAGTCAGGATAATTTGCTTTTTGATTAATAATTAACTCAAATTCAACTAATTTGGGACCTTAATTACATATGCAAAATCCCTTCACCTTTTTCATATAATATGATCTAATGGAAGAAAATCAGTTATTTTCACAGTACCACCTACACTCAAGGAGAGATCATTATACCAGGCATGTACACCAGTGGGTGGGAATTTTGGGACTATCTCAGAATTCTGCCTACCACAGCAATAGATTTTATCATACTTCTCTCAATAACTAACAGAACAGGCAGACAAAATACACAATTCAGTAAGAGTGTAGAAGATTTGAACAAGATTAACAAATTTTACCTAATTATATATACAGTATTGAACTCCGTAACTGCAGAAAATACATTGTTTTTAAGTATACACAAAACACTGACCAAAATAGATCACATACCGGACCACAGAATAAGTCCTAACAAATTTTAAATGACTGAACTCACATAAAGTATATCCTGTGATCACAGTGGAATTAAAATATAAATTATATTTAAAAGATTACTTTAAAAGTCCAAAATATTTAGAAATTAAGTAATACACTTCTATATCATTCATGGGTTAAAGAAGAAATCAAAGAAATCAGAAAATACTTTGAACTGCATGGTAATGAAAATACAATGTATTAAAACTTATGGGACAAACTAATGTGCTTAGTGGGAAATTTAGAGCTCTAAATTCATTTAAAAAAATAAGAAAGGCTGAAAATCTATGATCTAAGCAATGATCCCAAGTCAGGAAAAAAAAAAAAAATCACAGTAAATTCAAAGCGAAGACATCAAAGAAATTAATGAAATAAAAAACAAACATACAGTAAAGGATTGGCAAAGGCAAAAGCCAGCTCTTTGAAAAGATTAATAAAATTAATTCACCCCATCTAGCAAGATTGATGAAGAAAAACAGCAAAAGTATAAATAATTAATATTAGAAATGGAAAAGGTGGTATCACCACAGATCCAACAAGCACTAAAAAGATAAGAGGATATTATGAAAAACTTCATGTCAATAGATTTGAAAATAGATGAAGTGGACAATTTCCTAGAAAACAACTTATCAAAATTGACATAAGAATAAATAGAAAATCAAAATAGTCCTATATCTAATAAAGGAATTGAATCCATAATTTAAAACTTTCCTACAATGAAAACTCCAGAATTGAATGGCTTCACTGGTGCATTCTACTAATCATTTAAGCAAAAAATAAGACCAAGCTTACATAAACTCTTCCAGGGAACAGAAAAAGAGGCAACACTTCTCGACTCGTTTTATAAGGCCAGCATCATCTTGATACCAACACCTGACAAGAACATTGCAAGAAAGGAAAATTACAGGCCAAACTCTCATGAACATAGATGTAAAAATTCCAATAAAATACTAGCAGATTATATCCAGTACATATAAAAAAGATAATATATTACAATCAAAGTAGGATTATTCCAGGAATACAAAGTTGGTTTAGCATTCAGAAAAGCAATTAATGCATTTCACTGCATTAACAGAGTAAGGAGAAAAATCATGAGAATCATAATGCAGACAAGGCATTTGATAGAAATTATCCATTTAAAAAACAAAAACAAAAACCCTCTTCCCAAACTAGGATCAGAGGGACTATCTTCAATCTGATAAAGAATATCTACAAAAAAAAAAAAAAAAAAAAACCCTACAGCAAACATCTTATTTAAAGGTGAAATGCTTAAAGCTTTCCCTCTGCAATCAGAAAGATAAGGATGCCCGCTATCCTATCATTACTCCTCTCCAACACTGTACTGAAGGCCCTCGCCAGTGCAGTAAGGCAAGAAAAAGAAATACATGATATATAAGGCTTGGAAAGATAGAAATACAACTGTCATTATTCTACATCCTTAGGGAAATGCAAATTAAAACCACCACTATACACCTGCCAAAAAGGCTAAAATAAAAAGAATGACAACATTAAAGTGCTGGTAAGAATGTAAATTGGTAGAACTACTTTCAAAAATAAACACCATCTTTTGAAGTTTAACATAAGCAACTCTATAACCCAGCAAACTCAATGCCAGATATTTACCCAGTAGAAATATACTCATAGAGACATCAACAATGTATATAAAAATTTACAGCATTATTTGTAATAGCCAGAAATAGAAATAACCCAAATATCCATTAACAGTAGAAGGAATAGTCTACTCAGATAATGGAGTACTATACTGCAGCCAAAATGAACAAACTCTGTTACACTCAAAAAGATTGAATCTCACAAAGTAGAAATAATCCATACAAAATACTTAATCATACAACTTACATAAAGTTCAAAAAAGAAAACTACTCAATAGCATTAACAATCACAATAGTGGTTGCCTCTGTGAAAGAGGGAAGGACTATGAGGAGGGCTTCTAGGTACAGATAATATTCTACTTCTTGATCTGGAGGGTGTTACAATGGACATGTTTACCTTGTGATAATTCAATGAGTTGTGCACTTACAATTTGTGCCTATTTCTGTATGCTACTTAAAACCATTAGTGACAGCATGTACCGCTGGATATAATGTGAGGAGAAGGGCACTTCACGTCTGCAGTTATCTTTCTAAAAAAAAAACATAACTCCAGCTCCAGTCTAATCATCCGTAAAATATCAAGACGAAGCTGATTTGAGGAACTGCAATTACTTTTGCACTAACCTAATACAAAATACCTGACAAGTACTCTCTCAAAACTGTCAAGGTGCTGGGTGCGGTGGCTCCCATCTGTAATCTCAGCACTTTGGGAGGCCTACACGGGCAGATCACTTGTGGTCAAGAGTTCAAGACCAGCCTGGCCAACATGGTGAAACCCTGTCTCTACTAAAAATACAAAAATTAGCCAGGTGTGGTGGTTCGTGACTGTAGTCCCAGCTACTTGGGAGGCGGAGGCAGGAGAATCGCTTGAACCTGGGAGGCAGAGGTTGCAGTGAGCCAAGATCATGCCACTGTACTCCATCCTGAGTGACCGTCTCAAAACAAAAGCAAAAACAAACAAACAAAAAAAACTGTCAAGGTCATAAAAGACAAAGAAACTGCCACAGATCAGAGTACACCAAGGAGACATGACAACTAAATGCAATGTGGTATTCCGGACTGGATCCTGGAACAGAAAAAGGACAATAATGGAAAATCGGGGGAAATTCAAGTGAAGTCTGGAGTTTAGTTAATAGTAATGTGCCAATGAAGATGTTTTAGTTTTCATAAATGTCCCACAGTGGGATATATAAGGGTAAAGGGTGAGGGGTGTATAGAACTCTCTGAACTCTCTTTGCAACTTTTCTGTAAATCTCAAATTACTCCAAAATAAAAAGTTCATTTTAAAAAAAGAGAAATTTTAGTATAAAAGAAACGAAGCTGAATGGCAACCTGAACTACTGGATGAGGAAAGAAACGAATATTTATATGGTATGTGCCACATGTTAGACACTTAACATGTAACATTAACAAACTAAGAATTTCTTGAAGAAGAGAGAGAGACAAAAATAGACATGGCAAAAAGAAAACTAAAAGGAAATGTATGTTTACAATACAGTAAAATCAAGGTTGAAAGAGGTATCCAACTGTAATAGAATTTGGGAGGCAGAAAGACTAGAGTTAATCTTTGCTCTACTGCTTTGACATAGTTTGTATATTTGTCCCCTCCCAAATCTAATGTTGAACTGTAATCCCCAATATTGGAGGGGGGCCTGGTGGGAGGTGATTGGATCATGGGGTGGATTTTTTCTCATGAATGGTTTAGCATCCTTCCCTTGGTGCTGTCCTCAAGATAGTGAGTGACTTCTCATGAGATCTGGCTATTTAAAAGTGTGCCGTACCTCCCCCTCTTCCTATTGATCTTGCTTTTGCCATGTGACACGCCTGCTCATACTTTGCTTTCCCCATGAGTAAAAGCTCCCTGAGGCCTCCCCAGAAGCAGATGCCACCATGCTTTTTGTACAGCCTGCAGAATCGTGAACCAATTAAACCTCTTGTCTTATAAATTACCCAGAGTCAGACATTTCTTTATAGCAATGCAAGAATGGACTGATACACACTGACTGCATGATTTCTAGCAAGCTATTTCACCTCTTTAATCCTGTTTCTTCATCCTCAAGAAGGGGATAATACCACCTACCTTAGAGAATTACAGTGAGGATTAATAAAGTGCTTTACTCATACTCAGTAAATATTTATTTACTTTCTTTTCCCCTTAACCTACTCATAGAAGGAAACAGTGAAAAAGTTATGAGGAGCCAAGAAGCCTAGATTAGAGTTGTATCTTGGTCACTAGTTTGATACCTTGCATGAGTCACTTAAACTCTCCGGGTATGTTTCTTCAACTTACTAGCATAAATCAGGATGGGCATATTATAGCCCACACTCCAAATCCTGGCCTGCTGCCTCCTTGAATGAATAAAGTTTTATTGGAATACAGCAACACTCATTTATTTATGCATCATCTTTGGCTGCTTTTCCACAACAACAGCGGAGTTGAAGAGTTGTGACAGAGACCATGTGTCCCACAAAGCCTAAAATTTTACTGTCTGGTCCTTTAAAGAAAAAGTTTGCCAACCCCTCGTCTAAACAGTCTCTAAGTTGCCTTCCAACTCTAAAATTCTAAGCCAAAACTTAAGGTAAATATGAGATTTGAAAATATGTGACAACAATATATCTTAATTTCAAGATGCTCCATAAAAATTTCTCCAAGTCCAATGCCTATCTGCTTTCTGATTTTCCTTTTTATCTGCAACCTCTATAACCTTGCAATTGAATCAGAGACTGTGGCAGCTGAGGTGAGCAGCTAGGTTCCTGACTTGGTTTTAAAATTCGTAAGCCTAGGGTTCCAAGAACCCACAGCACTGCAGACATCAAAGAGCCTTTATCCTATTCCAACTCATGGCAAAGCCCCAGAGAACTGGCACTGTGGAGTAAAACAGGAGCTGTCAAGGAATTATCTGACAACCTCACTTCCAACTGCTAGGTAGTACAGGGAGCCTGGAACTACCAAAATTCATGCACCAAAAAAAAAAAAAGAAAAAAAAAAGGAAAAGAAAAACAAGCAGCAGCAGCAGCTGTTACATATCCTTAGTTTTATCTTCTTGATAGCTCTGAGCCTAAGAGCAGAACCATATACCATATCATATTCCAAATGTCCTAATATTTAAACTAGCTCTTCTAGTCCAATATACATTCTAAGACATTCCAAACATAATAGGATAGGTCCTGTCTCCCTTCAGCCAATGTTAAGATCATAGCCCTGGAGTCTGCTCTATATCCAAATCCTGGTTTTGCCTTTCCTTTGTGATGGTTAAACAACTTAGTTTTTTTTTTGTTTTGTTTTGTTTTTTTGAGATGGAGTCTTGCTCTGTCGCCCAGGCTGGAGTGCAGTGGCGCGATCTCGGCTCACCGCAAGCTCCGCTTGCCGGGTTCACGCCATTCTCCTGCCTCAGCCTCCTGAGTAGCTGGGACTACAGGCGCATGCCACCACGCCTGGCTAATTTTTTGTATTTTTAGTAGAGACGAGGTTTCACTGTGTTAGCCAGGATGGTCTCGATCTCCTGACCTCGTGATCCACCCGCCTCGGCCTCCCAAAGTGCTGGGATTATAGGCGTGAGCCACCGCGCCTGGCCACAACTTACTTAGTTTTTCATGCCTTGGGTAATCCACCTATAAAATGAGAATAGTAATTATTTATCCCATAGGACTTTTGCAATTAAATGGAGTAATACTCAAGAAATACTTAGCCAGTGCCTAGCTTTGTGTTTAATTAATAATAGCTACTGTAAGCCCTTACCTTATCATCACCAAATATCTATTTTCAGATTTAGTTTCCTCTTGAAATATTCGACCCTACATACCAAGTAAATAGTATTATTCGTTTCTTCTAAGAAAAGGAGCTATTCAGAATATTAATCAAGGGTACTTTCCTTCAAAGCCCTACTCTTTCTGCCAAATCATTCTTTCTTCTACCTTTTAGCAATTCAGTTTCAAGCACCTCGTCATGCAACCGTGATTTGTATGAAAGTAATATTTGCATGGGAAATTAGAGAGGAAACACAAAATGCAAAAGGAATACTGTTTCAAAAGAGTCTTTAGTTCTAAAGGGAAGAAAATATTTGAGAAGAACTGATTCCAATTTTAGCTTAGCAAAACCGAACATCTATACAATGCCTTTCAGTGTAGAAATCTGAAAAAAACTTGGAGGGTAAAGCAGGTAAGTAGCAATCAATCTACAATCTGTCTATTTTCATGATCATTAATTAAATCAAATTAATGGAAATAGCTTAATATTTCTTGCCAAAATTGGACAATAATGGTGTAATAGAAAGAGCATATTCTGGAGTTGAACAGACCTCAGTTCAAATCTTAGTTCTACTATTTTGCAAATGTCAAAATAAGGATAAAAGTTTTCCTTACTCTACTAGGCTGCTCTTACACAGGTAAACACCAAGGGTCTTTCTGAATATTAGACTATCAGACATTTACTTGTACTGAAAATAGTATCAACTTGTACTGAAACTGTATCAACAGTGTTGATACAGTAGGCAAAATTTCACAATTAAAAAAAAATCTTTTAAAAGAAATCACCGTAGTTACTCTCACACAATCTTAGCATTACTACTTTCTTAATAGAAAACAAATATAAGGATAAAAGTTCAGCTTTCCCTTCTGATAAATAACCATGTGGGTCCCAAGGATGAGAAAAAACAGGGTAAGCACTAGAGTGAAGGTCCTACTTCCATGGCCAAATATGAACAGTAAATCACAGACAAAGTTGGGTTAACACAGTTGCGTAGATGACAGAGATTCAAAGTTGTTTAAACTAACCTATTTATACTAACAGTAATGGAAACGGGGAAAGGGACCCTGAATTCCCAGTACCTTTCAGAGATAAAACCATCCGAGGACACCTGGGCTCCAAATATTTCTTGAGATCATCCCAGGCCTTTTTAATAGCAGCATAATGGTCAATGTATCTTCCTACATCAGAGTAAGTATCTATGAAGAGAGATTTCCAACACTGATTCTTCTGTGTTTTCTCTTCCCTAAATAGATGAAAAACATGAGATTTTAAATCTTTTAAAATAATATTAGCATTTATTTTAGATACCTACAACATATAGAAACTTGTACTTTTCCCTTCCTTTTCATTATATTTTAGCCACAAATGAAGATCAGATAGCAAAAAGTGATATATACATAAAAAAATTTTAACAAAAGTTACTACTGGCATGGTGGAATTGCTAGGCACTCATTTTCTCCTTTTCTTTCTACTTATTTTTTTTCAGTTTTCTAATCTTTAATAAAATATGAATAGTAATAACGTATAAATTTCAACTTATTCTTAAAAATATACCAATTATAAACTTTTAAAGGCATTATGTATTGTTTTAGAGAATACTTAGAATCTTGTGATATAATAATATTAATCTAACACATATCTACACTGAATTAGTTGAGAATCATAGAACATGAAAGTAATTACATGATTCAACATTCCTATTTGGTAAAATTCCCCAAGCATTTATTGAGTGTCCACTTAGCCACTGAGGATATAAAAAAATAAGGCACATTTTTTACCTTCAAAAAAGGTAAGAGTCTAACCAGTGAGAAAGAATGAAGTATAAAATTAAGAATCAGAAGTGATAGAGGGTAAGGCAGCCACAGACGGCCTTAAGGTAACATACTAACGAGCTTAGTAAGAAAGGCTTGGTAAGCCTTTGTGATGAATATAGAAGGAGGGAGAGAAGTGGGGAGAGAGAGAGAGACACGCCTAGGATGACTCCTAATTCTGATCTGGATGCCTGAGTGGATGATGCTGCTATGAAGACTGGGAATGCTGAAGGACAGGTTTAGGAATGGGGAAAAGAACAACTCAGGGTGGGTTTTTTTTTTTTTTTTTTTGCGGGGGTAGAAGAGGGAAGGGGAGCATCTTTTTATTAATCTAAATAATATACACATAGATTATTAAAACTAAAAAGTATCAAAGAACTTACGATGAAAAACTATTCTCCTGTTTTAAGTCCAACTCCTCAAAGGAAATCTTAGGTATTTCTAGAAGTTACCTCTATAGTTCTAAATGTTTATGCCTCTAATTCTTGATTTATCAACTTCACATGTATCTACTGATACCCCAAAGGGAAACACGGGAAGATCTAGCAATACTTAAAATTCCCCTTACCCTGTTCTTTTTCCTCCCAATGTTTGATAGCTCTGTTATTAATTTTCACTTCTGTCTAAAGCTTGCAGCTTTAAATAATATGCTTAAACCTCTGCTTCTTACTTCACCAACTTTAGTCACTACCTGACTCCACTTAATCTAAGAAAAGATATCAGCATTCCTACTCATTTCTTCCACCTTTCTCAACTCCCACTTTCTGTCATCTGTACTTTGATTCTGTCAAATTTGTTAACATTTACTGAATCCAGTTAATAAGTGTGGGACAGCCAATAGAAAGGTCCAGCAGACAGTTGTGCAAACAATTCTAGACCTCAGTGGGGAAGTCAGGGAGGGAGATTCAGGTTTGGGAGTTAGGAGCATGCAGATAGTCACTATAAACGGCAACAATGCATGCAGTAGAGTTCAGCAAGGGAGAGCAGCAGTGGGCTAAGGACAGAACCTTGGCAAATACCAACATTTACTAGCAGGCACGAGAAGAGCCACCAAAGGAGATAAAGAGACAAGGGTTAGAGAGGAGAATCAGGACAAACTAGTGTTATGGAAGAAGCCAAGGGCCAGTTTTCAGAAGTACATATTCCTCGAATACTCACTCAGATATCAGCCAGTATTTTTTGCAATGTCTTCTCCACAGCGGATCATGACTTGATAGCTGGCTAAGTCTTCGACTGACATAACAACAGCTGGCAGTAACCAGATTCACCGATAGTATTTAAAAAAGTAAGAAAACAATTTAAAAATAAAGATTAAAATATTCATTGTTTTGTTTTATGCCTTTTGTTTCTCTTACTTTTCACTTATTACCCTTATAATTACAAAACTATTTTCTAAAACCTGTTTAACATGTTAAGTAGTATAATTGCCTTGTTAGTAGTGAAACTGAGTTCACAAATAAACCCTGAAACATCTACAACTGTAATTTTTCACAAAAATATCTACAGACCATATATGCCATTGGAGTTAATCTCAAGTCAAGGAGTTGTCCTATGCTTATTATCAGGACAATACTCATTTCTACATATAGGAAGAAAGTTATTTAGTCATAAACAAAGGGACTTGGGGTTTTTTCCCAAGATCTGTAAGATGTATGCTACTAAATACACAGACTTTTTATTTTTGTTTTTTAAAATTTTTTACTTAAAGGAAAAAAGTATTGCCACAAAAACCACGTTTTCATTAAAGCAACTACTGGAAAGTCCACCTATAGAGGGTGCCTGAATCGTAACAGTTCTGACTCAATAGTCATGGCTACACAAGCTATCAGCTGCCCCAAAACATCGAATGTTAGAAGCAAATAACTTTCTTACTATATAAAGATTTCTAACACAACAGTGTTGCAATCCTGTAAATTCTACCCTACATAATTAATTTGTAAAAAGAATGAACCTAAGATTAGGACTCTATCCTTTCCAGAGAGAAATTACAAGTTATATTAATTGAAAGTAGGTATTCAAAGATCTCACTTGGGCAATAGCTATCAACAGAATCTTAAATCACATCAGGTTTGTCAAGGCCATGACTAAGGTGTGTTAAAAACCATCTATAGTAAACAAAATTGCCTTTGTTTGATTTTCAGATTTTACAGAAACATCATCCTCATCCTTTTCTGCCAAGCTCAGGAGATGCCCAAATTAACTTTTGTAAACATAGGAATCCCTCCAGTTTTGTGCATTCAGTTTCCATACCCTCTTCTTGATTCCTGTCCCTCCACTGCCCTAGGAGCTAAATGACATAAAAGAATCTGGAATATGCATGAAAGATGAATTCAATGCACATCGAGAGTGAAAACTACTGTTCTAGAGATTCTGATCCAGTCGGTTTGGACTGAGATCTGTACCTCAGGCATCTGTATGTTTAAAAAGTGCCACAGGCCATTCTGATGCACAGGTCATTCTGACGCACAGTGTGGCATTTATTCACTCCATTTCAGAATAAATCACTCTGAAATGGAGAGGGTATCAGATCATCTCAATTCAAACTAGGCAACTGATGCTACATGATTCCAGTGTACTAATCCAATCCAACCCAATCCAGTTCAGCAAATAATACCAAAAACTTCAGAGCTTATCACTAGACTAGACCCTTGACAAAATTGGGCTGTATGGTGCAGGAAAAAAGCTGCAATACACTGGATACTTTTCTGTAGATAAAATTCAAATGGTATTCAACTCAATTTATTTCCACAGACATTTACAGAGGGATCATGTCACTTCTGTTTAAAATTGTGATTACTACCTAAAGCATTTAAAGTAAACTCTTACTTCCTCACCTTGGTTCCCAAGGTCCTGCATGATCTCACCACCCTCATCTCATCACTGTCTGTGAGTCACTCCCTACCTCCAGCAACGCCAGCCTTCTGTATCTTCCACCAGGCCATGCTGTTGAACAGTACCGTTCAGCAGTCCCGTCAATCTCTGAACATACTTTTCCCTCTGCCAGAACTGCATATGCCCTGCTTCATATATGGCAGCTCCTTCCGATTTGATCACTTCTCACTTCCTATTCCTTAACAGAGCAATCTATTTCCTTCACAGCACTTAGTACCTCTTGCAATTATGCGCTTGCCCACTGGACTGTAAGCTCCATAAGAGTTGCCTTATCTGCGTTGTTCACTACTGTACCCTCAACACTTAACAGACTGGCACATAGCAAGCCCTCGGGGAAAAAAAAATCTTTGAATAGGAAGATAAGCAAGGCAGCCCTTACAATCAAGAAGCACGCCATCTACCTGACATGGCAAATCAATTCTGCAGGAAGAAGGTAGAGAGGGCATCTTCTCCACCTTGCCAAGTTGAGAAGAGGTAGGCAAGGCATTCCAGGCAAGGTCGAGAGCTTGAGCCACAGGAAAAAAAAAAAAAAAGAAAGTGCAAGTGTGTTGTATGCTGGCAGAGGTCTGATTTGGTTAGAATGGATGGTGCAAATGTGATAGTGGTGGAGAAATAAGTCCTGGAGGACCTTAGATATACAAGCCAGATGATAAGAGCTTTCAATGCCCCAGAAGTTTAGGTTATAGTCTATAAACATAGGGGTGTCACAGGTTTTAAGGAGAATGACAACCAGATGTGTCTTGGAAAGATTACTCTGGCAGCAATCAAAAGTTGGAGACTGTTAGTTAAATTGTAAGTATTTTCTAGAAAAATAAAATTGCTAGCAGGTACAGGTAGCGACCAGTACAGGTAGTGACCAAAAACTTGAGGTATCTCTCTATCACCACTTAGCTAGGCCAACAACTATCTGTAGCTCCAAGAAATCTGTATTTATAAAAAGACCTCTAATAACACAGGGCACAATCATCAAATGGCTAGAATCTAATGGTTAATCCAAACACAAAACAAATCTCGCCCACCTATCCTAAGAGGGCGACTTTGCATCCTCTGCAAATATATACGGTAGCACAGGAAACTCACAGCCATGCCACCCCCTGTCAAGGGTGTAAACAATCCTGACAGCTGGGGGGCGGGCTGGCAGCGCCATTTCTTCCACCACCCCAGACAGTCCCAAGTTCTGAAGAAACTGGGCATTGAACCACCCTTATCAGCAACCGGTGTTTATTTCTGGAACAGATGCTAGTAATGTGGGAAACCCAAGGTGTCCAGGAGAAAAGATAGTCACCGGTATGGCATCACCGGAAGTCAGTACCAAAACATAAAATCCAACATCGAACCGTAAGGAGCAATGCTGACAGCAAAACAATTCTCACGCACTGAAGTCCGAAAGTGAGCCCGGACAGCGATTCTGGCGCTGGGGAAGTCGCGCCAGGGGAGTAAGGGGTTGCCTATCTTCTCCTCTCGCTCACCCACCTGCCCACCCCGGCGCCAGACTCCGCAGGCCCCGGACCCAGCAGAGAAGAGCGCCTGGCCGGGACAGGGGCTTTTACACAGCAGCAGGGACTGACCCCAACCGGGCGGGCACCTGCGGGGCCAGCGGGGGTCCGCGGAGCGCGGCGGTGCGGCACGAGGGCCACTACCTCCTTCTCTTGCAAGTGGGCCTCACCGAGGCCTGGGAGAGAGATATCTCGTCGCTTCTCATACCTGGGCCCAGGACAGGAGGAAGACTCAGGGCGAGGCCCTTTCCGCCCCCGTCTCGCCCCGGTCCCCGGTGGCTCCGCAGGATGAGGGCGGCCCTGGCGTCACCTTCTGGTGTCGCGGAAGCTCGGGTCCTGTCAGCGGCCCCGACCCCCTTTCCCCCTGCCTCACCGCCTCCTCTCCCCATGCCCCCACCCCTGCCATGCGTGTCGTCCCATTACTTGATTAGATCCCGATAGTCCAAAAAGGATAAGATGAGGAGCAGGGGATCGGTGGGCAGCGACTCTAGGGTCAGCGGCGCCGTCTCGGTCTCCATGGCCGCCATCTTGCCTGGCCCGGTGCAGGTCTGGCCCCGCCCTGGCCCCGCCCCTGCCCCGCCCCCACCAGCGCCCGAACCGCCCCCAGCCGCTCTCACAGGTTTGTTATGTAACCGCCGGGCCAGCCCCGCCCTCAGGGTGGGCTGAGGTGCGGCTCCCTGGAGACCCCGCCCGCTAGCCGGGAGCCAGCGGCGCAGTGCGAGTTCAGCCCGCTTTCTTCGCGCTCCGCGTCAAATCTCTCCAGCTCTGTTCTCGCATCCCGGTTCGTAAACTTGCCCAGCCCGGGACCCTTTTGTTGCCAAATCTGCCTCGGTCTGCCCAACTCCTCCTGCGAAATTTTACACTCAGTATGCAGGAAGCCTCGCTCAAAATCTGACACTCCTCCACGCCCTTGGTCCCCAAATCCATTCCTTCTCTTTGTTTTCCAACCCGAGAACCCCTCGTTTTCCCCGCTCAGCCTTCCCCACCCCGCTTGTCCCCCGCACACAGCAGGGCCGCTCCGAGACTTGTCCACTCAGCAAGAGCAGAGCTGAGAATCAGCCAGGGACGCCAGCTGAAGGCCCTTCTCCCAAATTAAGGAAATAATTGTTGAGGGCTTAACTTCACGCCCCTCCCCGCCTTCCTAAGTAAAATGTGTACAAGGAGTGAGTCTGAGTCTCAGCCGCTGTCCCTTAATTTGGTTATCATGGCTATTTTCAGCCTATTAGGGCAATGCAAAGGGTACAGTGTGGATTTTTTCCAGCTTTAAAATTTATTTTGGCCAGGGTTTAGATCCCGCAGAGTTAAGTATCCCGCGTGTGAAGGGATGAACTGAGACTCCCAGAGGGCATAACTGATGGAGGCACGAAGATGTCTGCTCTTCAGCTTTGCCAAGGTGATATTAAAATGAGAGTGGGGGAAGTATAATGGGTCCATACATCACTTGCCTGATTTCTTCTTTTCCATTGCTTTTCCAAAGGTAGTATGGTGTAAGGGGCTTTGGGGAATCCAGACAGACCTGGACTTCACACGCCCGTCATTTATTTCACTACTAGTGAAATGCTGGCGTAGTTACGCCTAAGTTCTCTGAGACTGTCCCTCATCTCTAAAACCACCCCTCCTCTGGTGAACTAAGGATGGCGATAACGCTTTATGTAAAGTGCCTGGCCAGATACTCAATAAATGTTAATTTTCCAAGCTTATACATGCATCAGTCACTAAGTTCTCCAAACATTTCCATATCCTGGAGAAAGTTTCTCTCAATTATTTGGAAGAGTGGAAGTGATATGCCCCGCCCCAAAAAAATCCATTTCCTCCATTCTTCATACCATTAATGCCTTCTATTTATGGTTTTGCTTAATAGTTATAACCCCTGCCACCCAGCCAACAAAACAGAACAACAGCAACAAAAAACTCTGCCTACATCTCTGTGCTTCCAAATTGTTTATGCATATGCTTAGAAGAACATTTATTGAATTGGATTTCAAGTACTTGTTCTGTGTCTCTCTCGTCAAACTGTAAACTCTCAGTCTGACTCATCTTTCTAATTTCAGGGCTTAGCAAGTTATTCAACAACTAGAAAGTTTAAATTCAGGTTGAATGGATGAATGAAGACAGAATAATCATTTCTGTTTACAAGGGAACCATACCTTTTTACATAGACAAATGCTTGTAAAGGTATTTGATCCTGATTTATGTTTGTCTCCATTTTCTACTTCAGATGGGCCACCTGTTTTAAATCCAAAAGCTGGTAGGAGTTTCAGGTACACTGCATTTGCTTCTGCTGTCCTATTGCACTTGGACTTGGTGCAGCTATGACCTAATGCAGAAGACAAAGTATGAAGCTACCAAACTGTCAGGGCCAGAACTAAGGTGAGGCAAGAAAGCTACTTGCTTGGGGCACAAATTTAAGAAGAGGTGCCAAAAAACTGAATAATCAAATAAATAACATTTTAATGCAATATTTTTAAAAATAAAAATTAATGCAAAAAAAATTCACAGTGAACAAAATACCAAACTCTTAAACAAAAACAGGATCCCACAGTGCCATGTAAGCCATATTAGAGCCTGATGCAAAAAGAAAAAACAATGCGCAGCACTAAATACATGCTTTTTATGGTTTTGTTAGTTTGTTTTTTGAAACGGGGTTTCTCTGCTGTTGCCCAGGCTGGAGTGCAGTGACATGCTTTCGGCTCACTACAACTTCTGCCTCCTGGGCTCAAGCCAATTTCCTACCTCAGCCTCCTGAGTAGCTGAGACTATAGCTACACCACAACACCCAGCTAATTTTTGTATTTTTAGTAGAGACAGGGTTTCACCATGTTGGTCAGGCTGGTCTTGAACTCCTGACCTCAAGTGACCCACCTGCCTCAGCCTCCCAAAGTGCTGGGATTATAGGCATGAGCCACCGCGTCTGGCCAGGTGGAAGACTTGCTTCTCCCATGTGGCTGGGCTTACAGCTTCTGCCATGCGCTCTCAGCACCTCTTTTCCAGGCTGCTAAGCCCTGCCACTTCCTACCTTGCAAAGTGCCATCAGGTTGCCATCCCCTGCTGCACTAGCCCAGGCCCCTCTGGAGAGGTGGCTTTGGCTCAGGCTCCACTTTTCTCCCCAGCATGGTATGAGGCATGTGGTAGAGGTTGGGGGAGCAATGCAGGTAGGCAGGACCCAGGAGAGCCCTTTCCTGGGCTGGGGCTTCCTATTGCCCTTCCCCCACCCCCTGCCACCCTGCCCCCAATACTGGCTGGAAAAGGGGTAGGTAGGAAGAGAGAGTCCAGAATTTGGCTATTCACATCCCCAGGGCTAAGCTTGGGTGGAAGAAACAGTCCCTCCAAGTTTGCTCATTGTTTTGGAAGCTGGTTTCTAAAGAGTTTCACTAAAATAGTATTTGCTTATCATTTTAATTTCTATGGTAGATC
The DNA here is from genome assembly GCF_000001405.40 of Homo sapiens. NCBI lineage: Eukaryota > Metazoa > Chordata > Mammalia > Primates > Hominidae > Homo > Homo sapiens. Next base: position 33,777,385 of record NC_000011.10, read on the forward strand.
AGAAAGCAGAAGGTTTTAAGGCCAGGCGTGATAGCTCACGCCTGTAATCCCAACACCTTGGGAGGCCAAGGTAGGCAGATTGCTTGAGTCCAGGAGTTCCAGACCACACTGGAGAGACCCTGTGTCTGCAAAAAAAAAAAAAAAAAAAAAGCCAGGCATGGTGGTGCATGCCTATAGTCCCAGCTACTCAGGAGGCTGAGGTGGGAGGATAGCTTGAGCCTAGGAGGTCGAGGCCGCAGTGAACCGTGATCGTGCCACTGAACTCCAGCCTGGGCGACATAATGAGACCCTGTCTCTAAATAAATAAATAAATGTTTTTTAAAAAGAAATCAGAAGGTTCTAACAGAAGGGTTCAGATGTAGAATTTTTTTTTTAAAAAAAAGGTTTCTCCTTTTCTCAGGAGTAGAGAGGGACAATGCTTGAGAAATACACAGTCTTACGTGTTTCCTTTAGAACCCCAGTGGCATCTTATTTATGATGAGTAGCTCCTAGCAACAACACCCTACCTCTTGGTAATCAATCGTAGTTTCATCGGCTTTGAGGTTCCCACTGGCTGTTTAGGTAAATCCTTCAGACATTAACTCCTATCAAGTACAAGCATCCGGGCTCAGGACTGTGAGAGATCAAGCTGAACACAGTGCCATACCTGCCCTTGAGAAAGTGACAGACACTCCCTAACGGTTTGGTTGGGGAGAGGCAAATTCAAATGGCCCTGGAGACTCATTTTCTCACCTGTTTTCATGGTTTAGCAACTCGCTGCCTCAGCAGATCTGAGTTAGCTTGGAGGCAAAACAGGATGCTCTAGAAGTTCCTACTAAATGGCAGCCTAGAGGTGCCCCGAATCCCCGGCTTCCACCTCAGCATTTGTAAAACAGAGTTTAAGATCCTTCTGTATCGAACTCTGCGAGATGAACCCAGCCTAGGCACATTTCTCAGCGGGACAGGGAAGCTGGGGGCTGGGATGGATGGTGGGATGGGGAAATGGGGTTGCTTACATGCTCCTCCTTCTCTGCTTGTATCCCCCTCCCCCACCCAAGTTGTATTTATACCACATGGCATTGGTAGTGTGTGTCTGTGGCCCCTGAAAGGCAGTCGCACGCATGAAGGTTAAACTCCACTTTGCCTCGGTGCTAAGTGTTTTTGGAACTGCCCATTGTCCAACTGGGCCTTCCCAGGGACAAAAGCATTCTCTCCCAGGGGGCCCTGTCACCCAAGCCCCAGTGTCAGCAATCCTGGTTGTGCTGAGGCAGCCCTCGCATTTGGGAACCCAGAAGATAAAAGGGTGGGAGGATCATGGTGGGACTGCTGGGCACTAATTCCCCCAAACAAGTGTGACACCCAAGGAAAACCCTGGGCCGCAAGACTGCCAGTGATTGGTAAAAAGGAGACCCGCCCCTGTGGAGCCCAGGAATATTCAGGAGAATTACGCTTTATGGCTGAAAACAGGGAGAAGGATAAAATTGCAGGGATGAGTGGAGATTAGGGGCTGCTACTGCTACTCACTCAGAAAAGCAGCCAGGCTGATGGGGTGACACAAAAATCTGGAATGGATTTAGCTGCTCTTATGCAGCAAAACCACAGACAAACTCACGGCTAACGGGAAGCCTGGACCAGATATAAGAGATTTATAGGCACAGTTCCAGCAGCTATACACACTAAGTTCTAGGACTTGGTTCCCTGCTCCTTCCTTAAGGGATACTTTAAATATTTCTGAATTTGCCCAACCAATGTCTGGTTTCTTTGTTTTTGTCTGTGACATGTCTCTTGCTTTTTTGCAGCCTGTATAATTGATAGGAACCTTCTGGGTGCATGATGAGTGGATCTTCTGATAAGATACATTTAAAGTGTCCCCTGTTGGTGGCTTCTAATATGGGGCTAAGGATGTGACCAAGAATGGCCTGTAATCCTGAAGCCTGCCAAGATTGCATCATTGAAACAATGCTTCCTACCAGGTGGAGAGAAAATGCAGTATTCTTATCTGAGACGTAATAGAGGCCAGAGTGCTGAACAACACTATCCACCAGTTCCGTAGCCCCATAGGGCTGGGGAAGCCACTGGTATATGGAACCTTACTGTACCCTGTTGAGGCTTAAACATGTCAGTGGCCACTATTCTTATAGTGTCTGATATCATGAGTGGCTGAACTAGAATTGTGCCATTAGTGGTACTTGGCATGCAGGCTTGGATAGATTAATGCTGGGGTTTGTTTTTTGTTTTGTTTTGTTTTTGTTTTTAAAGACAAGGTCTGGCTCAGTTGTCTAGGCTGGTCTCTATCTCCTGGACTCAAGCGATCCTCACACCCCAGCCTTCTGAGTAGCTAGAACTACAGGCTTGTGCCACCACATCCAGCTAATGCTTAAAAAAAAAAAGAAAAAATACTCTTTATACCTTTTCTACCCTTCTCCATGCCCTAGGAGGCTGATCTTTAGGTACTCCTTCACCTGGGCTTCTTTGTTATCTGGCTTCTGGAAGAGAAAGCCAGATAACAAAGAGAGAACAATGGCAGAGAAAAGTGACATTCAGGTATTTATACATCTCCACCTCCTGGGATTTTGGTTGGGGCTGTGTTCCTCGGTGGAGACAGCTCCTGTCAGCGCCCTCTTTCCTACCTCCAGCTCACTCAGCTCTGATGATACTGTTCCCTCCCTCCAGCTGCTAGAACTGTGCCTCTTGCTTTTTCAGGGTTGGTAACGGCTTCCCTCCCCCACCCCATTACTAATCCCTGGGCACCTCACTGTCCCGCATTGGTTCCCTTATCTGGTTCATAACTCTCTTAGTATTGTCCCCACTGAATTCTGTTTAGTTATGTTCCTTTGCATGTTTTGTCTGTTTCTTGAGAGGTCTCTGACTGATATCACTTGCCCTTATCCACCAAGGCAAGCAGTACTGTAACAAACTCCCCAGGAGTACATTGTACATTGTCAGAGAGCTGAACAAATGCTGACAAAATGAGAACTGCTGGTTGGGGCCAAACATTCCACTCTCTCGATGACCTCACCACCGAATGTACTACATGAACTCCACTGCATTCCAGCTTAGAAAAGCTGACCAAAGATGAATGGGCTTCCAAGGAAGAAGAAACAATTCAGCCACCCATCTTTTTTGGGGGCTTCTTGTGCGACAGTCCAAAAAGACATTCTATCCTCTATTAAAGTCAAAGTTCTAATCTTGTGGCCACTAGCTGCTGTTGGGATGAATGCCTAACCTCTGATTGGCCTGTTTTGGAAACATCACCCTTTATACCTGGAAATTCCACAACAGGCTTTATATACCCAATAATTAACTATATTTGAGAAGGGGACACCTATGGCAAGAAGCCTTGAAAGTGATCCAGGCATCAGTAAAGCAAACCTTGTCCTGGAGCCTCCTATCTTATTCAGATGGAATTACAGATATCAATGATCAATCACACAGTGATTACAGGCTTTGGAAATGAGACTCCACCTTCTTACCAAGGACAAGCCTGCAAGGACTTTCTTCTGCTGCTGTGCCTGAAACTAGCCCCTTCTGGAAAAAGAGAATGTCACTGAAAGGAAAAATGATGACTTTGCCACCTGACATTGTCACTTTGCATTGGGTCCTGTCCGAACTGAGATACCCAGAAAGTTCTGTAGCAATATGGAAATGGCACTTACAACCAATGGCACCTACAACTTGAACCTACAAGGTTCAAGTCTGGTCCCCAATACCTTAGCCAACTTCAGGAACAACAGGTGGCTGCCCACCCATTAGACATGGAGAGACCCACCTACTGTTAAACCTAAGCTGTTGGCCTATTGGGGCCTCTTTGACAAGACTTGCATCTGACAAGAAGCATGGTTCACTGTTGAAATAGCTTGTCTCTGAGATGGGCAAATTCCATGGAATACCAATGCCATAAATTGCTGAGGCTCACAACGCTTGCATGCTGAATAATTGGCCAAACTTCAGGTGCTATTCTTGGCTGTAGAGCATACTGCTCCCAGATTGATGGAAATGAACCTTTACACAATATGTCAATTAGGATTCTCCAAAAAACAAATGTGAAGATAGGATTAGATTCATGAGAGATATATTCGGGGGCTGGGCAGAGGGCAGGAAAGTCTTATGAAGGATAAAAGAGAGGAAGCAGGAGTAGGCAAGGAGTGCCTTCAGACCACGATGCAGGTCTGACACCTGTGAAAAGAGAAGATGAAAGAAGGCGGATTTGGCAGGGAGAGTCTCGGGTTGGACTGCAGCTCTGAGAATGTCTCAGACAGGCCAGTGGAGAGTCCTTGAGTCAAAGCTGCCTGGTAGAAAGTCCAGAGACACACAGAATTGGCCTGCACTAATCCCCTGCCATGCTCAGCCATTGGCTAGGAGCAGCCCAGGGGAGGTATGGTTTTGATGCAAAAGCATGGTGAGCCGCAGACTGGCATTGTCTGTCAACTGTGCTACCTGCAGCAGGAGATCTGAGTGGCATATTCCCATGGCCATCACACACAGAAACATCAGTAATAGCCTAGCTATTTAGTCAGGCCATGGGCCACCTAAAGACTGAATTAATAAAGGCACATATTAATTATGTGCCTTTGGGACATAATTATGGGATCTCCCCATTGAAAAGATTATAAGTGACAAAATCTAGAGGAAAACAGCTGCCTGAAAAGACTGATCAAGCATATATGGGCATCATGTCTACCTACCACAGCCCATTGAATCTATGCTCTAACTCACCACAGTAATGGAACCACCCAAAAGACCAGGGATACCCAACCAGGAATTCTTTCATCAACACACATAGTAGCCACTGTTACTGAAAAAGCTCATACTCTTGGCCAACTGTGCCAGTCTGTCCATCGGTGACCTGATGATGTCTACAAGCCTAGTAGGTTTAGCTGTTTTGGGCTACAAGTTACACAGCACCATACTACCTTCTGCCTTGGCCAAACAACTAGGCACCCAGGACTTGAGGAACAGGCAGAGGAGAGTATAATCAGAAAGAGGACACTCTCTCCTCACACTCTTTTTTGGAATAGCACACAGTTGAGAGTATCCAAGTACTTTAGGGGAACAGAAACCATGCTAGGTATTTCAAAAGAGATTTAATACAAGGAATTGTTAAACATATATGGGAAGGTTGAAAGAGCAAAGGATGAATGCTGAGCTAATCCAGAAATCAAGACAGTGCTATGGTCTGACTGTTTGTGTCCTTCCAAACTGCATATGTTGAAATCCTAACCCCCAAAGTGATGGTTTTGGGAGATGGGGCCTTGGACAGGTGATTAGGTCATTAACAGGATTAGTGCCCTTATAAAAGGAACTCCAGAAAGCTGCCTTGCCTCTTCTACCACGTGAGGGCACAGCTAGAAGGTACTATCTATGAACCAGGAAGTGGGCCCTCAGCAGTGAATCTGCTTGGCACCTTGATCTTGGACTTCCCAGCCTCCAGAATTGCGAGAAACAGATTTCTGTTGTTTATAAGCTATCCAGTCTACAGTATTTTGTTACAGCATCCTGAACAAAGACAGACTGCCAGAAATAGTTCTCACCATAGGGCTGTGGAAGCAAAGGGGAAAAGATCTTTGGTTATAGAACCTCAGGGCTAAAAAGAGGAGCCATGGGCTCCCTGAGGGCCTAATGCTCTGCTCTCTCAAGAGAGGTCCCACGAAGTTGGCGTTGAGATCTCTGAAAGAGGACACCTCACAGCTGGTGCTTGTATCTCATGGCAGGTAACACACAGCAGATGCTCAAAACCTTGAAGGTAGGGTTGCCAGATTTAGTGCACACACACACACACACACAGACACAGACACACACACACACACACAGGCACACACAGGCTCACACACCACCACTGCCATCAGCATTACCACCACCAACAAAAAACAAGGGAAATAACTGAACTAAAATGGAAAAAAAACCCCAAAAAAATTAAATTTGAATTATTTGTACTTGCCTATGCATATATACTTTGAAATAAAATAAGAATACCACATAAAGCATGATAAAAATCATTCTTTATCTGAAATAACTGAAGAAGCACATAAATTACCTACCTCTTTATTTAATTATACTTCCCTGATGATTTGGCTCTCCTTAAGTTTTCTTAGTTTTGCAGAATTTGTTTATAAAATTCCTTGCATTTACTGTCTATATTGCATTTACATTGTAACAGTTTATACAGTGTTCATAGCCAACTTATTCTTTTGCCCACTGAACATTCATTATTGAGAAAACATGCTCAACATAGCATTATGAGCTGGTATACTGAATATCTGCTGGCTGTCACTGGCTGAATTTCACAAGCTTGGGGCTATCAGTGATTTACTGACTTTTAGATATGTGGTTATTAGAGTGAGTCTGTCACTGGTTGATTTTTCAGACCATAAGTGATCTCTAATTAATGCTGGTTACTTGTTCATGACTTGAGACTTGGACCAAATAATCATCTTTGCCTTTCTTTCCTTTTTTTTTTTTTTTTGAGACGAAGTCTCTCTCTGTTGCCTACACTGGAGCGCAGTGGTTTAATCTCGAGGCTCACTGCAAACTCCGCCTCCCGAGTTCAAGCGATTCTCCTGCTTCAGCCTCCTGAGTAGCCAAGATTACAGGCACTCGCCATGATGCCTGGCTAATTTTTGTATTTTTAGTAGAGACGGGGTTTCACCATGCTGGCCAGGCTGGTCTCAAACTCCTGGCCTCAGGTGATCCACCTGCCTCGGCCTCCCAAAGTGCTGGGATTACAGACATGAGCCACTGCACCCTGCCTCATCTTTTCCTTCCTTGAATATGAAAAATCAGTACTTTTTCCTCTGAATCCCCACTTTTGGTCTACTCTCAGCCAAATCTGCAGTAGAGACCATATGGACTTTATTTGCAGAGGTATGGGTTTTAGTTATGTTGCGTTTAGGTTACTTAAGATTTAACTACTATGGCAGAAAAGTAGCTCTAACTGGCAATATTTTGTTGTTTACTGAAAGATATGAATAGAGGGCATTTAGGGCATCCTGACAAAGTCAACACAGGATACAGGACACAATCAGTAAATACAGGACATGTCCTATGAAGAGAGGACCTACTTGAAGAGGGTGCCTCTTGTTTGGTACTTGGACCTTTGATATGGGACAACCTCATACCTAATGCTTTGGATACTGAAAGGGAACTCTGGGGCTGGGGTTCAGAATGCCTGAGGACCTTCAGAGGAAGGCCTGCAGAAGCTGAAAAACAGCGAGAGAATCCTCCTCGCTCCCTGCTTTCCATTCTTCTATGAGTACCTCCCAGTATCTAAAAGCAACTCAGCTTGTTAAAGCATCAGGGAAATGTAGTGTTCAGCCTTCCAGGCCCCACATCACTGAGATTATGCAAGGGTAGGCCCAAGCTAAGACACAAGAAATAATTAATTAACACAAGCAACAATACCCTCCTCCCATTTAGACTTCAGGGAATGGATGGAGAGTTCTCATAACTCAGATCGAGGACACCTTGATGAACATGGACGCTGACTTTGCTTTGGATAGCTCCCATGGTGCCTTATTCCTTATATCACTCAGTTTTTTTTTTTTTTTTTGCCAAAAAGAAAAAGACAGCTTTATTCAATAAATGGTATATGGAAAACTGAATTTTGGCAAACAGAAAAATAAAATTGGACCCTTATTTCAACACTATATACCAAAGTCAATTCAAAATGGATTAAAAACATAAAGATTCCTGTATTAGTTTGCTCAGGAAAATTGTCAACAAGAAAAAGAAAGAGAGAGAGAGAGAGAAGAGAAGAGAAGAAAAGAAAAGAAAAGAAAAAAGACTTAAACATAAGACCAAGAACCCTAAAACTACTTGAAGAAAACATAGGGGGGTCAGATGACAGCTGAAAGAAGGAAGGAAGGAAGGAAAGAAAGAGAAAGGAAAGAAAGAAAACATAGGGGAAACATACAAGACATTGGTATGGGTAATGATATTTTGGATTTGATCCCAAAAGGACGACAAAATTAAATATAGACAAATGGTATTACATCAAACTAAAGAGCTTCTTAGTTCATGATGTGTAGCTAAAACAAACTAAAAAGCTTCTGCACAGCAAAGGAAACAATCACCAGAGTAAAGAGACAACCTATGGAATGGGAGAAAATATTTGCAAGCCAGACATCTGACAAGGGGTTAATATCCAATACATATAAGGAACTCAAACAACTCAATAGCAATGAAACAAACAAACAAAAAAGCAATTAAGGCCTGCTTTCTGCTGACCAAGTCTTCTTCCTTACCCCTCCCTAATAAGAAGGAAGAAAAAAGGCAATTAAAAAAATGGGTAACTCCTCCTTAATATAGTGGTAAAATTTAAACATTAAAAAAGTTTTGGGGCCAGCTCGGTGGCTCACACCTGTAATCCCAGCACTTTTGAAGGCCAAGGTGGGCAGATCGCCTGAGCCCAGGAGTTAGAGACCAGCCTGGGCAACACGGCAAAACAATCTCTACAAAAAAAAAAAAAAATTAGCTGGGCTTCAGCCATGTTTGTGTCACTGCACTTGAGCATGGGTGACAGAGTGAGACCTTGTCTCACAAAAAAAAAAAAAGCTTTAAGTTGTAAAAATGGGTAAGATAAAAGAGAAGGAAAGAAAAAAATGTGTAAGGAACCTGAATAGACATTTCTAGTGATGTTTTTAAAGCCATGAACCCATTTTGGCACAAAGGCTTTATCATATGCAGTCATTGACAAAATTTTTTTGTAAAGCCATCAGATATAAAGGTGTGAATTTTCTCACCTGAGTACATGACAAGAAAACGCTGAAATCAATATATAAATAAAATCATCTGTACTGGCACTGTTAATCTAGAAGAAGGTGGTTGCATAGAGAATAACAAAAATTTAGATCAGCTTATTGAAGTGGGAAAAGAAAAAAGAGCTTCAGAGGTAGGCTTTGCCTCTTAAAAAAATTAAAAATATAAGTCACTGTCAGTGTTGAGCTTGGGAGTTAGTAGCCAAAAACAAACAAACAAACAAACAAAAAGAAGTCATCGTCTGTGAAAAGAAAAGAAGAAAAAAGAAAAAGACTTTGCATCCATTGAAGTATGCAGAAAAAGAAAACAATTTTTAAAATAAAATAAAGTGGGTATAGTTGGGAGCTTAGCCATGGACATACAGAATGGAGTAATAGACCCTGGAGGCTCCAAAAGGTGGGAGGATGGCAGAGGGATGAGGGATGAAATCCTACCTATTGGGTACAATGTTCACTATTCTGGTGATGAGGATGCTACACAATATACTTCACCACTATGCAATATATCAAAGCAACAAAACTGCACTTGTACTCCTAAATCCATAAAAATAAAAGATTATCTTGGCTGACACCTCTTTAAAAATAATAAAATAAAAAAATAAAAATTTTAAAAGAGAATAGTAAGAGCAGAGCAAGGACATTTAGTCTATACTTTCAAATGTGCTTGATCATTTGAAACAATAAAGTTGTTCACTGAATCTTCACAAAGTATTATAAAAAAGTTGTTCATTGGCAGAATTTCCCAACAAGTTAGTATAGATTACATGCTCTTTGATAAAAGCAACAATATAGTTAATTTTTTTCCTCTTTAGTATTTGCTTTAAGAGAAAAATCCTAAATTTCTTCAGAGGAGGGAAAAAAGAGAGAGAGAGAGAAATCCTTAAGACTTGTAGGGATTTTTGATTACAGTAAACCATGAAATATGAGAGTATATTTAGCAATCACGGTGATTTAGCTCATGGTAATTGGCATATGTATAATTATAATTTGCATTACAGTTATTTAAACTGAGATATTCTTGATCAGGTTGAACACATTGTGAGTAGAAGATCTCTTTCCCCAGGAAATAGGATGGAGAGAGTCTTTGGAGAATGGCCTCACTGAAATGCTAAGTCAGCTTCCTCCAGATTTTGGTAATTTCCCCACTTCCTCTGTAATTTCTCAGTGCCCTGGCCATTTTCTGGTAAGTCATGGTCTCCTTGTTGCCTTTTGTTTTCCCCCAGAGCTCGGCAAGTTTTTCTTTGTTTTTTGATACAAACTGAAAGATGCCTTTGGTTATATCTACCCACTGAAAACAAGATGCCATCTCTGGATTACACAGGGATTCGTGAAGGTATTCAAACAGTCAGAGCTTCTTCCTGCCTTTTCCCCTTTTGCTGGAGAACAGTGGGTTGTACCAGCTGGTTTTCAGTTATGTTCTGCAGAGATTGATGAATATTTCCTTCAAAATAGAAGTCCGCAGCACTGTTAATTACCATTCTCCAATTATAGACAGGCTCCTCTGTAGGCAACACTCCATAGCAGCTGGAATTTCCTTTGACATGAGGACGATGGTTGATTAAAGCCAGGTAATTTTTGTAATCTGGCGAGTACTGAAGATCTCCAGTTGAATGTTGCCTCAGAACCTCAAAAGCATCCTCAAATGCTTGACCCAGCTTCTCTTGTTCAACACATGTCATATTTTATTAATAAATTGACAATTCTGTTCCTTAGCAATTGTTGCAGGAAGACACTTCAACCCTTTATAGAGATGTTTCATTAATATCAGAATGGTAAATTCAACGGTAGGCTATCATGAAAATAAAAAATTATTTTCCAGTGCAATGGCTCTGTCCATCAGTGTCCAAAGCAGCATCCACTTGTACACAGTGGAAATAACCTTCCCGTCTCCTGAAACACATGTCTGCCTCTCCCATATCACTCAGTTTTTGAAGTGGGCTTTGTGAAACAGTGGAAGTTATCAGTGGTTAACCCACAGTTTGTGTGTGGGTTAACCTTGCAATCAAGGCTTTCTTTATAATAAATGTACCTTGACTCTTTCCGTTACCACCCCCCTTCATCTTATTTCCTTTTATTCAGGCTATCAGAACAGCTTCCTGATTACTCTCTTTCAATTACAGGCTGACATTTGTCTATTTGTTAAAAAATGTACATGTCATATACACCATGGAATACTATGCAGCCATAAAAAGGAATGAGATCATGTCCTTTGCAGGGACATGGATGAAGCTGGAAACCATCATCCTCAGCAAACACAGGAACAGAAAACCAAAAACTGCATGTTCTCACTTATAGGTGGGAGTTGAATGATGAGAATACATGGACACAGGGAGGGGAACATCACACACCAGGGCCTGTTGCAGGGTCGGGGAGAGGGGAGGGAGAGCATTAGGACAAATAGCTAATGTATGCAGGGCTTAAAACCTTGATGATGGGTTGATAGGTGTGGCAAACCCACCATGGCACACGTATACCTATGTAACAAACCTGCATGTTGTGCACTTTTATCCTAGAACTTAAAGTAAAATAAAAATAAAAAGAAAAAAATACATGTCTATAGTATTAATCTTCCTAAAGCAATGCTTTCATCATGTCAGTCCCTTGCTTTCAAAAAAATCTGTTATAGCATTTTGTTGATCACAGAGTATTACCAAACCTCCTTACTTAGCAGTTTAGGCCTTCTGGAAACTTCTATTTCTTCAACAAACACTTCTTTTTATTACACAAATAATTCATAGTAATATATAAAGAAAAAATACTGTGCCTTCCCCAAGTCCCATGAAATCTTAGTTGTGTGTTTTCCTCATATAAACATAGACATATAAGAAATGTACAATGTGGCTGGGTGTGGCGGCTCACACCTGTAATCCCAGCATTTTGGGATGCCAAGGTGGGTGGATCACCTGAGGTCAGGAGTTCAAGACCAGCCTAGTCAATATGGCAAAACCCCGTCTCTACTAAAAATACAAAAATTAGCTGGGCGTGGTGGCGGGCACCTGTAATCCCAACTACTCAGGAGGCTGAGGTGGGAGAATTGCTTGAACCCGGGAGGCGGAAGTTGCAGAGAACCGAGATGGCACCACTGCACTCCAGCCTGGGTGACAGAATCAGAATCTGTCTCAAAAAAAAAAAAAAGAAAGAAAAAAAAAATGTACAAATTTTTTAAAAATGGTTATTCTTTTATTATTCTACAGCTTGTATTTTTAACAAATTGTGAAGTATTTTCCTTCTTAGGAAATATTCACTTACATTATCATTATTAATGACTATAAGAGTGTTCCTTAATATGAATGCATCCTATTTTATTTAATCAGTCTCTTATTGTGAGAAATTTAGAAATTTTTATAATAACGCAGTAATAAGTATCTTTAAACATTCATTTTTTGTGAATTGTTTCAATGAGTTATGCTCACTGCATACATTTTAGGTGTGGCATTGCTGGGTCAAAAGTTGCAGAATTTTTTAGTTTGTCACATATTTCTAATTGGCTCCCCAAAATAGCCGCAGACAAAATATTGAGTTCCAGATGTAGAAGTAGTATAGACCACATTCTCTGACCCAAATATAGTAAAACCAGAAATGAATAATAAATATGTAATCCCCAAAGCCCAACCGTTTGACCTCAAAAAACAAACAAGTAAAGGCATCCTCTTAAAAACTCTTTGGTCAAAGAAGAAATTAAAACTGACATTACAAAATTATTTGACAGGAATGACAACCAGAATGGCATATAATAATTTTTTAAAATTTTTCTGCCAAAACTGCACCTACAAGCAAATTTAAAACTTGAATATTTTCTGTATTAAAAAAAAAGAAAAGTAAATATACAAAGCATCCCACTCAAGTTAGCAAAGAACAAATATACTCGGGGGAAGCAATATATAGATAAATTAAGGTAAAGGCAATATGGAAGGAATTGGGGGTAGGAAATAGTGGAATTGATGGATAAGTTCAATATCTTGCTCCGTGTGTGTATGTGTGTGTGCATGTGTGCGTGCTCAAAGGAAGAGGGACCACATGGAACACTCTCATGTTTTGCTGACAGTTCAGCAGGCAAGAAAAACTTGACATTCACAGTGGGATTAACCAGGATAAAATCAGTCTCAGCAGAGTGTCATGAAAGTACAAAGGTGGAAGTGATTAATTTAGTGGAGGTCAGGCCAGTGAAGGAAAGCTTCGCAGAGAATGTGACAGCTGAGTTGAGCATTATGGGATGGTAGGATTTTGCCAAGCGAAATGCTTGTAGAGAGGGAGTGAAGTCTAGGTGTGGTGGTAACAGTTGGGGATTGTTTTTAAAGTGCTGGAATTATTTTTCATGCCTAATCAGTTCTAGACATCTATGGGACTATTAACTATACAGCTTTATCGTTTTAAATAATGTGCTTTCTTTTAGAGGTAGAATTCTTTTGATTCAGGCAATCTATTTTTAGAGCCTGCTTTATATTTGTAGCAATTATGATGGAAAATGAACTTCCTAGAAATTAAATGTGTCATTTTATATCTTATCTGTAATGAGCTGATGGTGTTAGCATGCAAAGATATATTTAATACCTACTTTATCCGATGAAAAGAATATATTGCATGGATCCAAGTGTGGTCAAATAATGGAAAGTCTGTTAAAGCCATATGGAAATCTTTTCATTAATTTTAAATATTTAGGAATTTATCTGTTGACTATCCCATGACTAAGTTTCAGTATTTTATATAATAAGTATAGAATAAGAAAAATAATGTCCGTATCACTTCTCTTTCCAAAAAGGTATTTTATCTTTGTTGTTATAAGTGTTTTCAAAATGCAAACTTCTAAATTTAGTATGATTCTATCTTGAGGGAGAAGAAACAATCATATCCTCTCACTATGTGTATATGTATGTGTGAGATGTATGTTTGTAAAAGCATAGAAGATAGAAAAAGGTAGCAGTTAAAACTAGTGCCCTGGGGATGGAGAGGGGGAGATTCTAGAAAAGATGAGTGAGAAAAATAAAAGGGAATGAAAAAAGATGGTTAGTTCTTTTTATACATTTGTGTTGTTTTGTTGTGGTGGTAACTGGTCATTTTATAATTTTGGAAGAAGAGGTATTAAAGCTTTTAGAACTACAAGACAATTATGGTTCAGGAGGGCAGCTCTTTACTAATGCTGGGTTGGTTAAGGTATTTGAGGCCAGCATCTATCATTTCATGGCTACTATAGAGTGCACTGGCTACATTGAGACTTCATGGTCCCAAGCTTGCTGAAAAGGATGAACCTCAACCCTAGGCTGGCCATTTTTCTTTTTTCTTTTTTTTTTTTTTTTTTGAGTAGGACAAGAAGGGGATTCTGACTGCTAGAAAGTTGGAAGAGCTAGAATCTAGTCCTCCCTGGGCATTTGATGACCCATGACCTTGGGAAAGTCACACCTCTCTGGGCTTCAGTATCCTCCCACATGAGGGAGAAGAAAGAGATAATCATGACTATTCCCTCCAGTTCTAAAACACTGTGATTCCAACCTGCAGTCTATTTTAGCGGGTCTTATTATTTCCCCTTGAAATAAACCCCTGAAATAGTTTCTGAATAATACTCAGTACCTCAACATCACAGCTATTGTTGATTCATTTTTTATGACTCCCATGATCCTAACTAAATGTCATTCACATAACAAGTATTTAAAAGCATAAATGTTATGAGGGAAACAAAAAAAGTAGAGAACAAGACCTTGCTCACAAGACGCTTCTAGTGCAGTTGTGCAGAAAATATGTGTATTCTATCAAGCTGAGAGAAGCCATTCTATGAAATAAACATGAAATTACAAAATAGAATAATAAAGTCTCTACCTAAAAGTGCCACAGAAGTAAAGAAACAACTATAATATATTTGGTGATATAGTTTGGATGTGTGTCCCAACCCAAATCTCATAATGGAATGTAATCCCCAACATTGGAGGTGGGGCCTGGTGGGAGGTGATTGGATCATGGTGGCAGAATTCTCATGCATGGTTTAGCACCATCCTTGTTGGTACTGTTCTCATGATAGATAGTAAGTTCTCATGAGATCTGGTTGTTTATGTAGCACCTCCCCACCTCATTCTCTCTTGCTCCTGCTGTGTAAGACAACTCCTCCCCCTTCACCTTCCGCCATGATCAGAAGCTTCCTGAGGTCTCCCCAGAAGCAGATGCCACTATGCTTCCTGTACAGCCTGCAGAACTGTGAGACAACTAAACCTCTTTTATTTATAAATTGCCCAGTCCTAGGCATTTCTTTATAGCAATGCAAGAATGGACTAACACATGTGGTGATTGCTTGAATAATAATATGTCCTAGGTGGCACCAGAGTGTAAAGAAGGAAACAAAAACTGTACGTGGGAAGTGGAGGAATCCTTCTACAAAAGGATCAGAGGAAAGAGAACGTGAAAGGGAATGCAAATTGACACTGCTTAATGGCAGGAATGAAGGTTGATGGAGCACTGTGCTCTGCCCAATGCTAGAGACAAAGGGAGAGCAATATTAACCAAGGCAGCTTTGAGTATAGTGTCCCGCCCCTTTAGAGAAAAGTTTAGAATAGCTCCCCATACTCATATTTTGTAGTTAGTGAAGTTGAGTCTCAGAGACGCCAAGAGACATGCTTAAAGAGACAAAATCAGGAAGCAGTGTGCTGGAAACACATGATGGATCCATCTCCAAAGCACCTCCTCTTCCTGTTCTACCATGCTGCCTCCTTGAAGGAAACAAGGTGAAGCTGTCCTAGGAGAGACCTATTCTCCTCAGGGAAAGGCAACAGCAAATTTGATTTGTGTAACAAAAATATATTCCATACATAGAAATTGACAAACTGAATTTAAAATTTAGTCAAAAAGGCAAAGGACCTAGAATAGCCAAAACAATCTTCAGAAAGAAAAAGTCTGGAGGTCTTAACTTCAGGACTTAATAAAAGCTGCAGTCAGACTGGACGCGGTGGCTCATGGCTGCAATCCCAGCACTTTGGGAGGCCAAGGCAGGTGGATCACTTGAGGTCAGGAGTTTGAGACTAGCCTGGCCAACATGGTAAAACCCTGTCTCTATTAAAAATACCTAAAGTTAGCCGGACGTGGTGGCAGGTACCTGTAGTTCCAGCTACTTGGGAGGCTGAGGCAGGAGAATCGCTTTATGTAGGCATAAACCTGGGAGGCAGAGGTTGCAGCGGGCCAAGATTGCACCACTACACTCCAGCCTGGGTAACAGAGTGAGACTCCATCTCAAAAAAAAAAAAAAAAAAAAAAAAAAGCTGCAATTATCAAGACAGTGTGGTATTAGTGAAATAAATGACAGATCCATGAAACAGAATGAAGAAACCTGAAATAGAATCACATGTATATGGTGAGAGTCCCAAAACCTTTTTGTATATACAGTACAGTAGAGAGAAGAAAGCTTTCTTAGGGTGCTTTAACCAACTCTATTGAGGTATAATTTATATACAATATTATGCTTTCAGTTCAATGAGTTTTGACAGGTGTATAAGCCTGTGTAACCATTATCACAATGTTCTACATTTTCAATACCCTCAGAGAATTCCTTTGTGCCTCTTTGCTGCCAGTTCCTCCCCAAGCCTCAGCCCCAAGCAACTGCTGATCTGCGGTCACTATAGATGAGTTATGCCTTTTCTAGAATGTCCTATGCCTGGACTCATACAATAGATAGTCTTTTGTGTCTAACATATTTATGATGAAATATTGGAAACATTCCCTTTGAGACTGGGAATGAGACAGGAATGTCCACTATCACTGCTTAAATTCAACATTGTACTAAATAGTCAGTGAAGTAAGGCAAGAAAATAAAATATATGGTAAAAGATATTGGAAAGAAGAAATAAAACTGTATAATTTGCAGATTATATCATTATGTGTTTTGAAAACCCAAAAGAATCTACATAAAAATGTTAGTTACTATGAGTGCATCTTCAGTTTCCTGAATATAAAATCAATATATTAAATTATATTTCTAGGCCAGGCACAGTGGCTCATGCCTGTAATCCTAGCACTTTGGGAGCCCAAGGTAGGCAGATTGCCTGAGCTCAGGAGTTCAAGATCAGCCTAGACAACATGGTGAAACCCCATCTCTACTAAAAATACAAATAAATTAGCTGGGCATGGTGGTGCATGCCTGTAGTCCCAGCTACTCAGAGCTGAGGCACAAGAATCATTTGAACCCGGGAGGCAGCAGAGGCTGCAGTGAGCCAAGATTGTGCCACTGCACTCCAGCCTGGGAAACAGAGTGAGACTCTGTCTCAAAAAGAAAAAAATATATATTTCTATACATAAACCACACAATTAGAAAGCTGAAATTTAAAAAGGTAACATTTACAATAGCAATGAAAAATAGAACCTGGAAAGAAATCTAACAAAACTTATGCAAGAATTATTGGAAAAAATTATAAAACCAATAAAAGGCATTTTAAAATACCTAAATAAATGAAGAGCTATAACTTTTTAACTTACTACAAATAAATTGATTTAAAAACTCCATATCATAGAAATATAAATGATCACAAATTGATCTGAACATCCAACAATAAAAATACAAATCTCAATGGATATTTTGGTAAAATTTGGCAAGCTTATTTAAATATTTGGATGAAAAAGCACTAGTCCAAAAAAACGCCAAAATACTCTTGATGAAAATGAATATGATGGGGAGAATTGCCCTACCAGATATAAATCTATAACAATTAATTCAGGGCAGTATTGTCGTAGAGATAGAAAAAAATACACTAATGCGTTAGAATAGACAGCTCAGAAAAGCAATAGGAATATATGGACAATGTAATATATGGTGAAGGTGCTATAACAGATCAGTGAAGGAAAGTTTGAATTTTTTCAGTAAATGGCTCTGAGATCACATGAATAAAGAAAAATCAGAGGCTAGAGGAATTTTAAAAAGATACAGGACTTGTATAAAACAAACAGCAAAATGGCAGGCATAAATCCTACTGTATCCATAACTGGATTAAATATAAATGGATTAAACATTCCAATTAAAAGGCAGAGATTGGCAGAAAGGACTAAAAAACAAACAAACATGATCCAACCATATTATGACTAAAGAGAACACTTTAGAACCAAACAAACAAATAGGTTGAAAGTAAAAGAATGGAAAGCTATACTAAGGAAAAATAACCGAAAGAGAGCTGGAGTGATTGTATTAATAACAGACAAAATGGATTTTAAGGCAAAAATTGTTCTAGAGACAAATACAATTTATAACAATTAAGGATTAATCCATTAAAAAGATAGAAATATTATAAACATGTATGCACCTAACAGCCTTAAAACCTATGAAGCAAAAACTGATAGAACTGAAAGAAGAAATGAACATTTCTACAATAATAGTTGAAGATTTCAGTACCTGACTTTCAACACTAGACAAGACAACTAGACAGAATATTAACAAGAAATAGAAGACTTAAGCAACACACAAATAAACAAGACTTAACAGACATCTATAGAATACTCCCCCGAGAATACTAGAATACACATTCTTCTCATGAAACATTCTCCAGTATAGACCATAAAACAAATCTCAATAAATTTTAAAAGATTGAAATAATACAAAGTATGTTCTCAGACCATAATGGAATGAAATTAGAAAGCAATCACTGCATATGCAGAAGAATGAAACTAGACCCCTATTTCTCCTCATATTCAAAAATCAAATCAAAATGGATTAAAGACTTAAATCTAAGACCTTAAACTATGAAACTACTACAAGAAAACATTAGGGAAATTTGTCGGGGCAAAAAATTCTTTTTTTTTTTTTGAGACAGGGTCTCACTCTGTCACCCAGGCTGGAGTACAGTGGCATGCTCATGGCTCACTGCAACCACAACCTCCTGGGCTCAAGCGATCCTCCTGCCTCAGCCTCCCAAGTAGTTGGAGGGAGTTGATGTACTACAGACATGCATCACCACGCCTGGCTAATTTGTGTACTTTTTTGGTAGAGATGGGGTTTTGCCATGTTGCCCAGGGTGGTCTCAAACTCCTGGGCTCAAGCAATGCGCCTGCCTCAGCCTCCCAAAAGTCTGGGATTACAGGCATGAGCCATCACATCTGGCCATGTCTGGGCAAAAATTTCTTGAGTAATAAATATCCCATAAGCACAGGTAAGCAAAGCAAAAATGGACAAATGTGATAACATCAAGTTAAAAAGCTTCTTCACAGCAAAGGAAACAATCAATAAAGTGAAGAAACAACCTACAGATTGGGAGAAAATATTTGCAACTACCCATCCGACAGGGATTAAAACTAGCATATAGAAGGAGCTCAAACAGCTCTATAGGAAAAAAATTTAATGATCTGATTTTTAAAATGAGCAAAAGATTTAAACAGACAGTTCTCAAAAGAAGACATACAAATGGCAAATAGGCATATGAAAAGGTGCTCAATATCATTGATCATCAGAGAAATGCGAATCAAAACTACAATCAGATATCATCTCACCTCAGTTAAAATGGCTTTTATCCAAAAGTCAGGCAATAAAAAAGGCTGGCGAGGATGTGGAGAAAAGGGAACACTTGTACTTTATCGGTGGGAATGTAAATTAGTACCACTATGGAGAACAATTTGGAGGTTCTTCAAAAAAACTGAAAATAGAGCTACCGTATGATCCAGCAATCCCACTGCTGGGTATGATCCAGCAATCCCACTGCTGGGTATATACTCAACAGAAGGGAAATCAGTGTACTGAATATGTATCTGTACTTCCATGTTTGTTGAAACACATCACAATAGCCAAGATTTGGAAGCAACCCAAGTGTCTGTGAACAGATGAATGGATAAAGAAAATGTATGTATACATAACGGAGTACTATTCAACTATAAAAAAGAATGAGATCCTGTCATTTACAGCAACAAGGACAGAACTGGAGGTCATTATGCTAAGTGAGATAAGCAAGACAGTACTACAAACATCACGTGTTCTCACTTATTTGTGGGATCTAAAAATCAAAACAACTGGACTCACAGAGATAGAGAGTAGAAGGATGGTTACCAGAGTCTGGGAAGGGTAGTAAGAAGGTGGGGATGGGGGTGATGTGGGGATGGATATCAAGTACAAAAATAATAATAATCTAACTTTCCACATTAAGAAACTAGAAAGGGAGCAAACTAAACCCAAAACAAGCATAAGAGAGGAAATAAGAGTTATAAAATAAATAAGATAAATAGAAAAACAGTAGAGAAAAATCAAGAAAACAAAGTTATTATTTGAATGATCAACAAAGTTGGCAAACCTTTCACAGACTAACTTGGAAACAGGAAGACTCAAATTACTACAATCAAGAATGAAAGAGAGGACATTACCATCAACCCGACACAAATAAAGATTATAAAAAGAATACTATGGGCTGGGTGCAGTGGCTCACGTCTGTAAGCCCAGCACTTTGGGAGGCCGAGGTGGGTGGATCACGAGGTCAGGAGATCGAGACCATCCTGGCTAACACGGTGAAACCCTGTCTCTACTGAAAATGCAAAAAATTAGCCACACCACTGCACTCCAGCCTGGGTGACAGAATATTATGAACTGTAGGCCAGCAAATTCCATAATTTAGATGAAATGGACAGCTTTCTAGAAAGACATCACTACTGAAACTGACTGGAAAATAAATTAAAATCTGAATAGACTTATAACAGGTAAAATGATTGAATTAGCAATTAAAAAAAATTGCCAACAAAGAAGATCCCAGAACCAGATAACATAACTGGTATATTCTACCAAATGTTTACAATTGTCACCAATCCTTCATAAACCCTTCCAAAAAATAGAAGAGGAGGTAACAACTCATTCTATGAGGCCAGAATAATACTGGCCTCATAGAAAGTACCAAATTGTACCAAAACCAGAAAAAGATATCACAAGAAAACTTCAGATTAACACTGTTGTGAATATAGATGCAAAAATTCTCAATAAAATCCTAGCAAACTATACTGTGTCCATTTGAGTGATAAAAAATAAAACGCCGGCAAACTAAATCCAGGAACACATACAAGGATTATAAACCGTTACCAAGTGGGATTTATCTCAGGATTGCAAGGTTGGTTCAATATATGAAAATCAATTAATCTAATACACTAATTAATAGAATAAAGGGCAAAATGACAAGATCATCTCAGTAGATGTGGAAAAATGTAACCCAACAAAATCCAACACCATTTTATGCTAAAACAAAACCAAACCAAACAAAAACCACAAAACCACTTATCAAATTAGGAATAGAAGGAAACTTCCTCAACCTCATAAAGGGCATCTATGAAAACCCCAAAGCAAACACTGTGCTTAATAATGAAAGACCGAAAGCTTTTCTCAGCAGCAACAAGACAAGAATATCCACTCTCATGAATTCTACTCAATATAGCACTGGGGGTTTCAGTCAGGGAAAAGACAAGGAAAAAAAAGGTTTCTAGGTTAGAAAGGATGAAGTATAACTGTCTCTATTAGCAGACTACATGATCTTGTATATAGTAAATCCTGAGGAATCTACACAAAAAACAAATATAGCTATTGAGCTGGGTCAGCAAAGTGCCAGGATACAAGATCAATATACAAAAAGAAATTGTATTGCTATGTATTAGCAATAGACAATACAGAAATGAAAATAAAACAAAATGACATCAAAATGAAATACTTAGGAATAAATTTAACAAAAGAAATATAAGACTTGTTTACTGAAAACTATAAAATGTCATTGAAATAGATTCCAGAAGATCCAAATAACTGGAAAGACATATCACCCATGAAATAAAGTAGTTATTATTAAGATGGCAATACTTCCCAAACTGATCTACAGATTCAGTACAATCTCTATCAAAATCTCAGATGGCTTCTTTAGATAAATTGACAAACTGATCTTAAAATTTATATGAAACTTCCAGGGACCTGAAATAGCCAAAATAATCTTGAAAAAGAAGAATAAAGTTGGAAACTTCACACATCCTGATTTCAAAACTTATTGGAAAGCTACAGCAATAATAAAAAAAAGTGTGCTAGAATAACAGGTGCACTAAAATCTCAGAAATCACAACTAAAGAACTTATTCATGTAACCAAAAACCACCTGTACCATAAAACTATTGAAATACAAAAGTGTGTTATTGAAATAAGGACAGTTATGTAGATCATGTACTACAACTGAGAATCTAGAAAGAAACTCATACATTTTGAATTTTTAACAAAGTATAACTTTGCCAAAACAATTCAATGGAGGAAGAATAATATTTTCAACAAATCCTGCTGGGACAACTGGATATATACATGCAAAAGAATGAGGCAGGACCCTTACCACAACATATACAAAACAAAAACAAAAACAAAAACAAACAAACAAAACCAAAAACCTAAAAATGGATCAGTGACCCAGATATAAGTGCTAAAACCAAAACACCTTTAAAAGAAAACGTAAAGGTAAATCTTCATGATCTTGGCAATGAATTCTTAGATATGACACCAAAACCATGAGCAATGAAAGAAAAATAAAAGATAAGTAGGACTTCATCAAAACTTAAAACTTTTGCACTTTAATGGACACTATGAAAAAAGTGAAACAGCTAATGTATTGGGAGAATATATTGGTCAAATATAGAGACCAAATATAGTAAAAAGAATATTTGCAAAATACCTAATAGGGGCTTGTATCCAGAATATATAAAGAACTCTTACAGGCCAGGTACAGTGGCGCATGCTTATAATCCCAGTGCTTTGGGAGGCTGAGTTGGGAGGATCATTTGAGGCCAGGAGTTTGAGGCCAGCCTGGGCAACATAGTGAGACCCCCATCCCTACAAAAAAAATTTTGATAGCCAGGCATGGTGTGCATGCCTGCAGTCCTAGCTATTTGAGAGGCTGAGTAAGGAAGATCACTTGAGCCCAGGACTTTTAGGTTACAGTGAGCTATGATTGTGCCACTACACTCCAGCAGAATGAGATGAAAGAAAGAAAAGAGAAAAAAAGAAAAGGAAAAGAAATTCTCTTACAACTCTACAATAAAAAGACAACCTAGTTAAACACTGATCAAAGGAATAGACATTTCTCCAAAGGTGGCCAATGATGCTCGATATCATTAGTGACTAAGGAAATGCAAGTAAAAACATGACAAGACATAATTTCACACACTAGGATGGCTATAGTAAAAAAGACAGATAAAAAGAGTTGAGGAGGATGTGAAGAAATTGGAACACCCATATACTACTGGTAGGAATATAAAATTGTTAGTCACTTTGAGAAACAGTTTGGAAGTTCCTGAAAAATTAAATATAGAGTTAGCATATGATCCAGCAATTCTACTTCTAAATATATGCCCAAGAGAATGGAAAACATATGTTCGTACAAAAACTTGTACACAGATGTTCATAGCAGCATTATTCATAATAACCAAAAAGTGGAAGCAACTCAAATGTACATCAACTGATGAATAGATGAAAGAAAATGTAGCATAGCCATACAGTGGAATATTATTTGGTAAAAAAAAAAAAAAAGAGAAAGAGAAAGAAATGAAGAACTGATACGTGCTATAACGTGGATGAGCCGGTTTTTTTTTTTTTGATGGATGAATTTTGAAAACATTATGCTAAGTGAAAGATGTCAGTCACAAAAGGCCACATATTATGTGCTTCCGTTTAAATGAAATGTCCAGAAAGGGTAGATCCCTGGAGACAGAAAGTAGTTTTGTGGTTGCCAGGGGACATGGGAAGGAAGGAATCAGGGGTGACTGCTAATAGTTATGGGGTTTCTTTTTGGCGTGATAAAAATGTCCCGGGCCTGGCGGGGTGGCTCACACCTGCTATCCCAGCACTTTGGGAGACTGAGGCGGGTGAATCACCTGAGGTCAGGAGTTCGAGACCAGCCAGGCCAACATGGTGAAACTCCGTCTCTACTAAAAATACAAAAACTTAGCCGGGTGTGGTGGCAGGCACCTGTAATCCCAGCTACTCAGGAGGCTGAGGAAGGAGAATCTCTTGAACCTGGGAGACGGAGGTTGTAGTGAGACGAGGTTGCGCCATTGCACTCCAGCCTGGGCAACGAGAGCGAAACTGTCTCAAAAAAAAAAAAAAAAAAAAAGTCTTCGAGTTAGTGGTTATGATTCCACAATTCTGTGGCTACACTAAAAACCACTGAATTGTATACTTTATAAACAAATAAATTTGTCATTTTCTCATATACCTCACTTTCTCAGTAAAACACTTAGATAATAGTTGAAAAAGGCAATACACTCACTTAGGATAATGAACACTGCCAGTCTCTATATAATTACACCATATCTTCATGTATTTCACAGTCCACATGGACTGTTTATGAATCCATCAGAAGTAGGTACATCGCTATTAAATGCAAGTCCCTGTGCTTGGTACTGTCATGGCCCACTTAGCCTAAGACAACTAGGGACAAATCTGTAGTCTGAAAAGTCAGTTTTTGTTTGTTTGTTTGTTTTTTGGCTGATTGCAATAAGAAAAATCACATAGTGGAAGAATCATGGAACTTCTCGACAAATGAAGGAAGAAATAGTTAACTATAAAAGTTCTGGAAAAGATGGAGTCTTTGTAAAATTAAATGAAGGAGTGTTTTAATGTGTGTTAAGCAATGCGGTGTGAGTATAAAAGGGTTATCATCAGGTCTGGACTGAAATGGACACGGGATCATATTTCCTTGGACACTATTAAGAAAATGCCAATACTGTGTCCAGAAACCTTTATCTGAACCTCTGCGCCGGGGCGGTAAATCAAGGTCGCTTCTCTTAGTTCCCCCAGGTAAGAGTGGGATGTTTCATTGTTACTGATGTAATTTCAAACAGCAAAATTTTGAAAGTCTCCCATGTCAGAGGACAGGGTTACTCATTAAGAAAGCTGTTGTCACTCTAAGAAGGGGGTCATACGGCACCTTTCAGCAGCAGTGTGTCCTTGGGAGAAATATCGTTGGCTATTAACTTTGCGGCTGGCTTTATCTGTCTGTTATCGTAGCCTGATGAATGGCAGCGCTGATTTTTACTTTCTCAGTATTGGTGGGGTTACAAAGATTAATGAAATGTTGTTTGTGCTGGTAAAGCCCTGGAGGTAAGAAAGGCACTACTTTGATTAAGGAGGAACAAATGCAGCTTGCCCTGAAGATTCGTTTCCTCCGCCTTTTGTTGATTTTCAAGGAGCTGTTTTCACAGACCTAAGTGCAGAGTGCGCATCTCTCTGTGTGACAAGGCGGGGTGGGGAGGAGGTCCTGCCTGCCCTGTCCTAGCTTTCCCGCATGAACTCTATTTGTCCTGGTGTGTGGTCCTAGTGGGGTCCTTGGCCCTTTCGTGACAGTTCTAATCACAAAGGCACACATCCAAGTGGTCTCTAATTTTTGGAAGTGGTGGGAAACATTCCTTCCTAAGGGTCCTGTCAGCTGACAAGTCGGGCTGGAGACTGGGTGACCGGGATCCCGGTGCCTGCAAGCCCAAGGGTAGCTGAAGCCGCCTGGAGTTCAGGAACCAAGCTGTTGGTAGTCTGCTCTAATATCTGGGATTGAGGGTGAAGGAGTGGCAGGGACTCTGCCAGCATTGAAGCCCCAAAGCAAGCGGGCCATTTGAAAGAGAGGTAAACCCGCTGCAGACAGAGAAACCGGGTATTGAGGCTGCTCATCGCTCGCAACCCGGGAGGTTGGCTGAGTCAACCCAGTGCAGCAGAAGCAAAGCGCGGGCTAAGGCTGCAGTTGGGCTCACAGCCCCAGCTGATGGGTTGAGAGAAAAATCTGGCCTGGAATTCACTACTTCTCCAAACAAAAAACCCTGGCAGGTTTATGGCCCAATGGGAAAACCTGGAATGGCTTTCAGGGAATTGCAGAGACTAGGTCAGCAGGAACTCAGACTAGATCTGGGATCTGGTCCCCAGCCCCACACTGCCTCCTCAGGAGCTTCCAAATGTCCTGAATTTGCTGGAACCAGAGCTTACATGGCTGCTGTTATCACTATTATTACTCTGTTCTTTTATCACTCTGTGTAATTGTTATGGAAGGTGTCAGTTACCTTCTATAACATATCATGTGAGGCTTGGGTCCATAGACATCCTGATTGATATATTCATTGTGACCCCGTCTTGTGACTTCTAAAACAGTCAAGCACATGGCCAAACGTGACCTGTACCCCTAAAACTTGCCTTGATTGAATCATTAAAATATATTTTTTCTCTTACCAACAAAAGAAAAGGAAAAAAAAAGCCCTCTGAATTTGTAGGAATCCTCTGACTTGGTCTAAATGCCACTAACATAAGTGCTATGTGGATACAAAGGAAGTAACTGAGGAATATTCCTCGGGAAAAGTTGGCTTAGAAGGTTCCTGGGTCCCTGCTGGTGTCAGGATCAGTTCAGCCCTCTTTGGGGTCCTACACTCAGATATATTCATTCTCTCCTCTGTGTCTGTCTGTTGCTCTAGTGCCTGATGTACATGTTAATTTATTTGTATTGGGTCTCACAAACTCGATTAAAAAAAAAAATCCAAAACCTGAAAATTGTTCTTGGTAATTTGACTAGACAGGAGGAGACTAAGCAGGTGCTTTGTAATCTATGTAAAATGTGAGTGCCAAAGTTCAGAGAGGTCAGTCCACCTAGGGAGAAGTAGTTGTTATGGTAGATTCATGGGATCCATGTGGGTCAGGGGAAAATCAAGATGGAGCAGGTGGCCGGGTGTTGTGGCTCAAGCCTGTAATCCCAGAACTTTGGGAGGCCGAGGCAGGATCGCTTGAGCCCAGGAATTTGAGACAACAGTCTGGGCAACAAAGCAAGACCTCGTCCCCTCAAGTCCCCCAAAAAAATTAAAAAGAAAAGATGGAGCACTAGGCTTGGCACAAAGCCATGATGGTAACATGGTGACAACAGCAGTGGTGATACTCACAGCTGCCATTTATCTAGCATTTATTATGTGCCAGGGTTGGTTGTAAATGGCAGTAAAAGGCAGAGCCAGAAATCTACAGGTTCCAAGGAATGATATACACCCAGTTTCTAGCAGTCTTCCTTTTCTTCTTTCCCAAATGAGGGAAAATGATGACCTCTATCTTTGCCTTATGTGTTAGCTGTATACGACTCTGATAACAACAACAATAATAATAATAATAATGGTAGTGATAATAAAGTAGTATAAAATGAAAGTAATAATGTAAACATGCCCCCATATACTGCCTAATTATAGTAATATATAATTATATAGTAATATGTACTTGTAATATAACTAATATCTACAGTAGATAATTACCCTCTGTAGATATTTAACAAATCTTCATCTGTTGCAAGTCATTCAACAAGTATTTATTGAGTGCTAGTAAATACATGATTTTCTGCTATCTGAGATCAAGCGATAAACAGTCACAGTCCCTGCCCTTATGTATTTTTGTTGTTTTGTTGCTGTTTTTCCATAAGGAGAGGTATTATGTTTTGTGTATAGAGCGGTTCAGACAATCATAATGCTTGATTCCAAATCAGAAGACCCAGATGCTAGTTTTTGGTTTGATAGCCAGTCACTTTAATTTCTTAGTGTCATCTACACTACATCATGAACAAATAAGGTGTTAGACTAGATTTTTACGAGCTCTGCCAGCTGTAACATTTCATTATTTGGTTTAGAGTCTGTGACATCCAGTGTTGGGAGGGCAATTTGGCTGACTGGATATAAAAGGGCAGCCTTTAGTTTTGCCTACAACCTCACCATTATTTGGTCTATCAAGTCTTTTTCATCTTGTTTAATGGTAGTCAAATCTTCAGAAACCTGGCTTTTTATATCTAAACTAATATAAAAATGATAATGGTAAGAAATCTAATTTAGTTATCTTTTTTTTTTCTGGAAAAGGAAACCATCAACAACAACAACACACACACACACACACACACACACACACACACACACCACATGATTGCTTGCTTGCTTAGGGAGGAATCAGAGCTTCAAAAGTGAGCTGATTCCAGCCACCAGCTGTCATCATATGAGGAGCTCTTGTGAGTTGATCGCCCATGAAAGAGGTAAGTTATCCTTTCTCTTCACTAATCTACATCTGTAGTATATTCAATACTTACCCATCCTTTATCCTTTACCGTGTGGTTTTCCATGGCTTCATGAAATGCTTTAGCCAGACAGGTCAAGGTTTAAAGGTGGTTTTCTTTGTTTTGTTTCATTTCGTTTGCAATGAAAGTTAATTGCTAATTGAAAGTTAATTGATTTTTCTAGGAATGAGCCTCTAAACATGGCCACAGCTCAGTGATACTGACCAACCAGACATACCTTTGCTGGACCTATGCAAACATGAAACAGGTAAAGAGAAGTGAGTATGTGGCATTCATCAGAGAAATAAGACCAATGCGAATTTTGTAAGCAGTATACAGGCCTGTCGAACATGATTACTTGGAAAATTACTAACTAAACCTTTTTTTAGCCTTTTCACATTCAGTTAAGATTTCATGAAGAGTTGTAAGAGAAAAGCTTTTCCAGACCCAGCCATGAGTACTCTGCTTTACTCAGAAGAACCACAAACTTTGAACAGCTTGATAATCCAGCATTTCTGAAACTTTTCTTTGCATGTGTGTCACTGAGGTATCTTATTAAAGCACATATTCTAATTCTTTGGTCTGAGATGGGGACTAAGATTCTGCATTTCTAACAACTTCCAAGTGATGCTAATGTGTTCCTGATGCTGGGACCCTATTTTAAGTAGCAAAGGTCTTGTTGGAATCAACCCAACCAATGGAAGGCAAACAATCACAATTCTTGACTGTGAGTTTTGGACAATGATTGTCTATGTTCAGATGGAATTTTATGAAGCTAAACGTTACCTTTGGCCTGTATAGTGAGTATACTACAACTCAAGTGGAGGGGTGTGTGTTCATATTTTCTCTCAAAAACAAAGCTGAAAAGCCAATGGGCACATGGGCAGCAAGGAGAAGGATGCTAGAATAAAATCTTATTGCAAAAAGGTGGAGATCAATAATCTGCAGCTATTTCTTTTTCTTTCTTTCTTTTTTTTTTCTGAGACAAGGTTTCACTCTGTCACCTAGCCTGGAGTGCACTGGCGCAATCATCACTCACCACAGCCTCGAACTCCTGGGCTCAAGTGATCCTCTTACCTCACCCTCCCAAGTATCTGGACTACAGGCTTCATGAAATACTTTAGCCAGACAGGTCAGGGTTTAAAGGTGCGCCACTACAGGCAAGCACCACTATACCCAGCTAATTTTTAAAATTTTTTTTAAAGAGACACAGGTCTCACTTTGTGCCCAGGCTGGTCTCAAACTCCTGGCCTCAAGCAATCCTCCTACCTCGGCCTCCCAAAGTGCTGGGATTACAGGCATGAGCCATGGCCCCTAGCCCTATTTCTAATGTATGAATAACCTGTTCTCAAGTTATCTTAAGAAATAAAGTATTTCTTTTTTGAAATAAATAAAAAGTAGCTATACAGACCACATTAAAATGAATTACTTTCACTTGAATTAATGGTAGGAAAATTTAGGATAACAAATAAATAAGGAACAATCAGAAAAGAGCTATTTCTCTTGAAGATGGGATTCACTCATTCAACAATTTATTGAGCCCTTTGCAAAGGGGCCAGGTGCTGTGCTGGGTGCTGGAGATACAGAGGCAGCCCCCTCTGTCAAAGTCTCACATTCATTTGGGGGATAGTGACTCAAAACAATTCTTAAAATGAATTAAACTGTGATCTCTGAAGGAGAAATGGAGCATTTTGAGAACATTTGAACTGGAGTGTTGACTTGATTGGGATGTGAAGGAAGGCCTCCCCAAAAAGTGATGTATGAGGTGAGAGCTGAGGGATGCTGGAATTAAGCAGGGGTATGAGGCACAGAAGGTTAGAAGGAGCTTGGGCCATGTGTGGGGTCGTCCAAATATCCTATACATAGTCTCCCCTGATCTGGGGCCTGACAGAGCGAGTCTTGGCATAATTAATGCTGATGCTGGAGACTGCCCAGCCTGGTGTCACCCATAGAAACAGACACACTCCCTGTGGTCCTTGTGGGCCACTGTGCACTGGGGAGCTATCCAGCCTACTCCTTACTTCCACTCCCCCGAATCTTGTCCTTAAGCTGTAGCCTATGAGACATACCTGCTTTTTAAATTCATTTTTCTTATAAGTAACATATAGATTGTATTATGATGATAAAATGATACTTTGAACACATTCTCTTATATTATGTTTAAGAAATGAGCTCCCCAGTTTTTGCTGACTTCCAACCAGGTTTGGGAAACTCTACCCCATGTGGAACGGGCAGGAGTTTGGAGAGTGTGGAATCGGTTAAATCTCTGTGGCCCTTGACAGACTTTGTCCAGGAACACATTTGGTGTTCAGAATAGTGAGCAGCACTCACTGAGGCTCAGAGAAATGAGCTTGCCCAATGTCATGGCGACTGGTGAATAGTGATAAACCTAGCACTGGGTACTCATTTTTCCAGGTACTTAACATCTCATTATCTCAAGTGTCCTGCTTGGCTTTGCTGTCTCAGAAGCTCCCCCAAGCCTGTCACCTTCTGAATTCCCCTTACACCCAGCCTGTGGATCCAGAGGGGGCTTTTTCATGCCTAACATGTTACCGAAACACAAGGGGTTCGGCTTAGGTCCTGCTGCTCACGGCACAGAAAGCCAATCACTGACCCAACAATTATTGCCAAAGAAGTAGGCTTTAATTGGGTGCTGCAGCTGAGGAGATGGGAGGTCAGCCTCAAATCATCTCCCTGGGAGAGGAGTCTCAAATTCATCTCCCTGACCAGCTAAAATTAGGGGTTTATACAGCAGGGAAGGAATGTAACTGTGTGAGAAAACAGGAACTCGGGAAGGGTCAGGAAGCAATCATGATGAATGAGGGGCCTGGAGTTTCTAGTCTGGATGCAATGATCTGGTGAGTTTCAGATCTTTGATACTTTTTTTTTTTTTTTTTTGGAGAGGCCTGGTTGTCCTTTCCTGGAGAAAGAAACTCTGAAATTCTGATAAAAACAAATGTAAGTTTCAAGCTTTAAGGTCATAAGGGTCAATTTCTATGTTTATCCAAAACAAAAAACAAAAAACACCCAAAACTGTCGATGGGACTATTGGGTTGGTTTCAAAGTCAGATATTACTGCCCCCCGGACTCAGTCTCTTTATTTATTATAAATAATATAAACTTTATTGTAGGGGACAGTGGGGAAAGGGAATACTCACGAGTCTGCGAATCCTTGGGTCATGGAGAAACCAGGTAGTGTTCTTCTCTTCCTTTCTTTTTCTCTTTTCATCCTTATTCATTGGGTACATTTTTCCTGCCCCACGGCAAGACCCTAAGATGTGGAACTGCCTGAAGTGAGCAATCTGACCACCAGGGGGCAGCATGAGTCCATCGCTTTGTCTGAAAACAGACAGGTCCTAGTCAGCGGCCCTCCTCTCCAAGCAAGCTGAGTCTGCACGTTGGAGTCATCTGATGAGCTTTTAGAAAACTGCAGGTGGGTGGGCTCACTTCAATTGCCATCTCCTGTCTTCGGGAGTGGGGCGTGGACATCGCCATTATTTAAAAGTTCCTCAGGTGAGTCTGATGCACAACGTTGAAAACCACTCGGAGAGGACTGAATCTGTGAAAACTGTAAAGGCTTCTAGGAATCAGCCAGCCCAGCCCATGTGTTTCCATTTTGCAGCTTCAGGAGCTGAGGCCCAGAGATAGAAACAGTAGGCTTAGGGGTACTTGGAAGACAGCACCAGAACCCAGGACCCTAACATTCGGCCCAGTTCTCCTTCTTCTCTGTAGCACGTGGTCGTCCATATTTCGGCTGGGCCTGGGCATCAGAGGACACCAGGGACCACTCCTCCCCTCCCCTCCGAGAGCAGAGTGGTGCAGTCCCTCCTGGCTTAAGGAGCTCCTCACTGACAGGAGAATTCAGAACTGGCCTGCAGAAATCAACTGGAGAACCTCCCAACCACGTGTGCATGAGGTTCAATGCCCGTGCGTTTCAGGAGACGTGAGGATGGGGAGAGTGAGGTAGTGAGGACAGCCACAGTCCAGTCAAGGAGGGCTTCCTGGAGATGAGGCAGGAGGAGGAGATTGGTTGGATTTCAATGACCCATGAACGGTGGGGGCCACATTTCAAACCAAACCAGAGGATCAGGAGAAGTAATGGGTGTTCATGGGGCCACAGGTACGAGTGGGGGAAGGTGAGGGCCAGACAGCAGAGGAAGTTAACACTGTGGAGACGGAAGAGGGCACAACACCAGAGTACAGACCTTGACTCCCAGACAGAGGATTCAAGGCCCTTTATGGAATCTTCTAGATCTCGGCCTGGATGCCTGAAGAAGCACGAGAGGTGTCTGAGCCTGGGAGGGACGCCTGTGAGCTGGGCCTTAGAAAGACACCCCTGGGGGCAGCCAGACTGGAGGCCCAGAGGGAGGCAGCACCCGGGGCTACTTTAGGATCATGCTTTCCAGATCCTCCCAACACAGAAAAGAGGTGGCTTTTGGAAGGTGTCCAGAGGTATTTGTGGAGTAGAATGGAATACTGAAGTAGAAGAATGCCCTTAACGGTGGGCTGTGGAGGGGGACAGGGCCAGAGAAAAGATTGGGAATAGAAGTTTGGTGAGCAGCAGGGACTCCATACTGGGGGCGTTTCTAGGTCTGACAGTTTCGGGGAACATCACGACCCCACGGGATAGTGGTGTTCAGAGTGAAGAGACATCCCTCTCTCTTCTCCTCTTTCTCCAGGCAGGACATTCTTGGGGAGCCCCAAAAACCCCGACCTGAGAAAGCTCTAGAAGCACAGCATTAGCTCACCACCCACCCCGTACGTCTTGAGTGCTTTGCGATACCACAGGGTTGTCTGTGACACGTCCAGCCCAGCACTGCCCTGCTCTGCCTGCCTGTCTTTGGGAGGATGGATCTGAGGTTCATGAACACTCCACTTCTCCTCTTGTAGGATTCTCTCCAGTAAAGCCTCCCCTGCATTTTATACCACATGGTACCGGAGAGGGTTGCCTTTGTCCTTTTTCCATGACACCTGGCCACCACACAGGCACATCATTTTCCCAATGCTGGGTGTTCTTGGAAGAGGCCTTGTTCCCTAATACTGAGTGTTTTTGGAAGAGTCCTTGTTCCTGATGCTGGGCATTTCTGGAAGAGGCCTTTTTCACTGGGGCCTCCCTAAGCATGGGTGGGTAATAATTTGTTCCTAAACATCCTGGCAGGTCCCAGCGTTTTTATATGGTTGGTATGGGGAGAAATGAGAGTAGGTAATGGATGCTAGCCTCTGTCTGCAAGGCGATACACACTTTTCAAAGCATCATGTCCACTCTCTTTTGTGGTTCACCACAGCCTTCTGAAGTAAAGAGGAAACAGCTGGCAGGGATGATCCCATCTACCTGCCCAGCCAATCCAGCAGAGAAAGGTGTCCCTTTCCCCTAAGGAAGCACTGAGCGGGCATACTGGTTCCTCTTTTGGAGCATGCCCAGAAGAGGAGCTGGAGTCCCAGAACCATTAGGCATGAGAGAGTTACTCCAATAAAGGGCAAAGTTTTTGGATGTTTTGTATTGTATTTCTCAATGCTTTTTATTGGGCTTCTAAACACTTTACATTGTTCTTAGAGAAAAAAACTATAAAATCATCAAGAACAGGTGCAATAATAAAAGCAATAATGATAATGTGGGTAGCTATTCCTTCTCATATATTCGCCCTTTGCCAGGCCTGGTTCTAAGTGACAGTAAAAGGCCAGGCCAGAATTCCAGCTCAGATCTTATTCCTTACTTTTTATCACCTCACCTGTAAGGTTTTAACAGGTGTAGGATTTCAGCAGTAAGAATAATTTGATGTTAAACAAAGAATTCATGACATAGAAGGACAAAAAAAAATCCTATCCTTTTCCCCTAGGACTAAGGTGACCGCCATGATGAAAGACCAGATTCTCATGAAGAAACCGTTTGTGAAGGATTTTGATCAGGCAACATGGGCATGCAGGTTTAAACACAGCCCCCAGCCTTCCATGCCTGGCAAGCCACTTTCTCCTATGTTCATGCATGTCTAGATTTCTCAATGAAAAACGTAGTTGAACTCATGAAAGCCTATCTTTAAAAAATATTAAATAGCTAATCTTATAAACCCCTATACACAGTGTCAGTTCACTTTTTTCATAAAACATGCCTAGTGGAATGGCAACAACTGGGAAAAATTCAGAGCTCAGCATTTATGTATTGAAAATATCTCTTAAGTGGCTATAGGTGTTGGTTTATAAACTCCAGAAATAATTTATAAATAATTGTTTATATTTGCTTATATTAATACTTGTTTATAAACTCGATATTTTCATGTATTTATTTTTTAAGCTTTTTTGTTAAACATGTAAATGTGAATATTTGCAAATCTTCAATATGATTATGTTTGGGCCATCACCATCCAGTTCAAGATTTAGAACATTTCCAACACTTCCAAAGGTGCCCCTTCCCGTTCCATTCCATGCCCCCCGCCCAAGAGAACCACTGTTCTGACCTCTATTCCCACAGATTAGTTTAGCATATTCTTGAGCATATAAATGGAACCACACAGTATGTCATTTCTTGTGATAAGATTCTGTTGCTCTACATCATGACAGGGATTAATCCATACTGAGTATAATACAGTCATAAAACAGAATGCAGTACTGCAGGGGAAATGAATGAACTGCAGTTCTATACATCAATACAGACACAATCTCAAACATATAATATAGACATGAAAAATGATAGTTGCATAAAGTAAAAGTGAGGCAAGAGAAAAAGATAAACGTCTTTTAGGAATGAATTCCTGCGTAGTAAAACAATAAAAAAAAACACATGGAAACATTTAACACAACTTCTAGAGTGATGGATACATCCGCAGGGCAGGAGGGAGGAGGATGTTCACTTTATAATTTTTTGAACTGAGCACATTACATTGTTATGTTGGTATATGTATGTATTATATATTTCACAGGAAAACAAATGAAAAAATAGTGCACAGGAAATGAGAAAGCAGGGAAAGTTAAGTACAGACACTTCCTCTGAGACATCATCTTTTTTGTCATAACCGCTTATACCTTTATGTCAGTAAGTTTACCTTCAGTAAGTTCCTCTGGCTGCAGATGTAGTTTCAAATGACAGCAGCATCAGCATTCCTATGGTCAACTATTTAATCTTTAACTGCATTTAGGTTTGACTCAGATTTCACCTCCACCCTTCTCACTTTTCATTTTGATTACCTGTTTATAGAATGCCACGTGAGTTTATCACTGGAAGACGGGGAGGTAACACAGCAACATATTTTGCTGTCTGTGTGTGAACTGAGTAAGAGTTGTGCAGTAAGAGGTCAGAGAGGCTTTGAAAGAAGTGTCATGGTTGGTCACTGATCGTGATGCACATCTGTCACTTATATAGTGACTTTTGGACTGAGGAGCCAGCAGTGAAGTTTGCACTTTATGCGACTACTTACAGTTAATATGCCTTGATAACTGAGATTTGAGATTTGAACTGTATTTTTGGGTCACCCTCGTGTTATTTATTTAACCCATGGTGACTGAAATTTGTACATATTGGAACAATGCAAATTGAAGACTGTATGTATGTATGTATGTGTATTTATATATAACATATGTATATATTATTTAGATATATTATGTATATAATTATGTACTGTGTATACATACACACACTAAATATATATATACACATATATACATATATACACATATACATACACATATATACATATATACACATATATACGTATATATATATATCACATATATATATCTCACACACAAATACATCATGGTCAACTAGAATTAATTCCAGGAATCCAAGGTTGGCTTAATATTCAAAAATCAATCAATGTAATTCATTATACTTTTTTAAAAAAGAAAAACCATATAATAATCTAAATATATACAGAAAAATATTTGACAAAATTTAATACCCATTGATGATAAAAAAAAAATCTCAGCAGACTTGGAATTTAAGGGAACTTCCTCAGCCTTTGCCTTATCAGGGGCATGTATGAAAAACCTACAGCATCATACTTAATGGTATGATATACTATATTTAGATATACTATATATTATATATATAAAATTTACTGGATACATATATATACACACTAAATATACATATATACATAACACTGAATACTGAGTACTTTCTGAATACTGAATAACTGAATACCTTCTCCTTACTAATGGAAACAAGTGGAGGATGTCTGGTCTCACTAGTTTCATTTAACATTGTGTTGGAGGTCTCAGCAAGTGCAAAATGGCATATAGATAGGAAAAGAAGGAAACAAATTTTATTGGCTCATGACATGGTCATATTTATAGAAAATCATAAGGAATCTTTTTTAAAATCTCCTGGACTATTAAGTAAATTTAGCTAAGTCACAAAACACAAGATCACTATACAAAAATTGGTAATACTTTTATATACCAGCAATGAATAATTGAAAATGAAAAAAAAATTTTTTTGAGATGGAGTCTCGCTCTGTCACCCAGGCTGGAGTGCAATGGCACCATCTCGGCTCACTGCAACTTCTGCCTCCCGGGTTCAAGCAATTCTCCTGCCTCAGCCTCCCGAGTAGCTGGGATTACAGGCGCCTGCCATCATGCCTGGCTAATTTTTGTATTTTTGTAGAGACAAGGTTTCATTATATTGGCAAGGCTGCTCTTGAACTCCTGACCTCAGGTGATCCACCTGCCTCTGCCTCTCAAAGTGCTGGGATTACAGGCATAAGCCACCACGCCTGGCCTGAAAATGAAATTTTTAAATGCCATTTATAACAGCACCCAAAACTATGAAATATATTCAGTGAAATTTTAATGAAATATGTGCAAACATGTACACCAAAAACTATAACATAATGTTGAAGGAAAATGGAGATATATACTGGATTTATGAATCGGAAAATTCAATATCATTAAATGGCATTTCTTCCCCAATTGAGTTATGTATTCTGTGCAAACCTAGCAGGCTTGTTTTCTTTTAGAAGTTGGCAAGCTGAAATTTATATAAAATATGACCTTTGTGCCATAGAATAGCTCAAACAATTTTGGAAAAGAACAAAAAGCTGAAGGATATAATTTATTGAAAGACTTAATATAAACATGGAGCAATCACATAATTATTGTAGATATAAGTAGAGAAATGTAAACTAATACAACAATAAAGCATCTAGAATTAGATCCACTTATGTATGGTCAATTTATTTTTTTCAGTTAAGGTGCCAACAGGGGAAATGGTGTTTTCAACCGATAGTGTGGTAAAAATGGGATATCAATTTGGGGGGAAAATTGAATCTCAACTCTTATCTCACGTCATACAGAAAAGTTGACTTAAAATGGGTCATAGAACTAAATATAAGGCTAAGGTTATCAAACTTCTAGAAGAAAATATAGGAGAAAATATTGTAGCCTTTGGATAGGCAAATGTTTCTTGTATAAGAATAAGAAGCATGAACCATACAAAAAAAAAGTTGAGAAGTTAGACTTCATTTAAATCAAACATTTCTCTTCTCCCAACACTCCATTAAGAAAATGAAATGGCAAGTTATGGCCTGGGAGAAAATATTTGCAATATGTACATCTGCATAGGGCTTGTACCTAGAATTTATAAAGTACTCATCCAACTCAGTAAGAAGACAAACCACCCAATACAAAAATGGGCATGATAAGAAGAATTTTAAGCTCTTGAAGCAGAAGAGAAGCTCTCCTGTTGGCCTGGAAACGAGCCACCATGAGTTCTATAGCGGCAGAGAAATGAATTCTGCAGACAACCACCTGTGCTTGGAAGAAGACCTGAGTCTCAG
The DNA here is from genome assembly GCF_000001405.40 of Homo sapiens. Taxonomy (NCBI): domain Eukaryota; kingdom Metazoa; phylum Chordata; class Mammalia; order Primates; family Hominidae; genus Homo; species Homo sapiens. The sequence goes on from NC_000011.10 coordinate 33,814,878, forward strand.
ATCACACTGTAGCCCAGGCTGACACCTTGATTGCAGCCTTGTGAGACTTGGAGCGGAAGAGCCAGCTGAGCCACGGCTTGCCTATGGAAACTGAGAGACAGTAAGTGGACTTTAGTTTTTGGTTTAGGCTGACAAATGTGTGGTGATATGTAGAAAACTATAACAATACAATAAGCAAAAGATATGCATATACTTCATAAAACAAGATATATGGATAGCCAATAAACACAAGAGGTTCAACATCAGTCACCAGAGAAATGCAAATTAAAACCAAAATGAAAATACCTCCACACACAAACACAAAATAGAAGGGCTAACGTTAGGGGGAAAAACCTGACAATACCAAGTGTGGTATCTGGAATTCTCATAGACTGCCATTGAAATGTAAAGTGGTACCACCACTTTGAAGAAGTTTGGAAGTTTCTCATAAAATTATACATATCACATAGCTCAGTTATTCCACTTGTATTTACTCGAGAGAAATGGTAACATATGTCCACACAAAGACTCATCGATGAATGTTCACTGCACTTTTTATTCATAATAGCCAAAAAGTAGAAACCACACAATTGTACACCAATAGGCAAATGAATAAACAAACTGTGCTGTATCCATACAAGGGAATACTACTCAGTGATGGGAAACCTTTGGAGGGTGATGGGAATTTATATAATGTGATGGCTATGGTGGTGACTCCACAGGTGTATACATTTGTCAAACTCATCTAACTTCACATCTTAAATGGGTGCATTTTATACACAAATTATACCTCTGTCGAGTTGACTTTTAAAAGTTCACCATCCCAGGATGATTTGCTCAGAAATGATCCCACAGAGAGGGAAAAACTAATGATGCAGGTGGATAGAGGTCAATTGCAGGAGGGATGTCCTTGAATAGGAAGTAGGGTGGGGTCCAGTGCTTAAGAGGAAGAATGGCTACTAATAAAATCTGGGGTAGTTTACATGTTTTCTCAGCTAAACAGGAAGCAATGTAGTGGCTGAGAGTAAGGAGAGTCAGGGCTGTTGGAGGTATGAGAAGAGATAAAAAGGTGTGAAAGTCATTTTAGAGAGTGGAGAGGAAAAATCGTCCCTAGGTCTGCCACCCACTCCTTCCCGCTCTCTGACACACCCCATTCACCTTGGAACTCTTGATCTCACATTCCTTTTCCCCATCACTGTTTTATTTGAGCAGCATGAAGAGGCAGCAGTGTCTGCTTAGAACCTTAGACTTGGTACCTTAGATTGTTACAACCTTAGATTGTAACAACCTTAGATTGTTACAGAAACTCCAGGCCACATGACCTGAGACTTTGCAGGGCCGGGCCAAGCCAGAAGCCCGCAGGGTGGGGCTCCAGTCTCTGTCCCTGCACAGTGCTCATGGTACCCTGAGAAGCTTCTGCTTCACTTCCCAGGTCTGCAACTCTCAGAGGTGTGGGGCTTTGAGAAAGCAATGGGCTCCCAGAAAGCAGCCTGATATTGAGGGGTCTAGCAAGCAGGTGGGGGCTTGGGAAGTTCATGAGAGAGATTTCCATAAGTGGAATGATGAGGGTGATGGGGGGCCTGGAAGTGCAAGGGCCCCTCATGACCAGAACTAAGAGGAGGGAATTGGCCTGGCAGGCATGGGGACGGGACAGAAGGCCACACTGCCTGGGGCCTGAGACCAGAGAGAAGTCTTGGTGCTCAGATGCGGTTCTTGCTCTGCTCCTCTGGGTCTTCAACAGTGGCTCTGCAGAGAAGTCAGCTTTGATGCGAGCACTGCTTCCTAGCTCTTAAAAGCACTCAGGACTTAGTTCTCCTATGCCCTGAATCTCTGCTTCTACCTGCCCCTGTCCCCCACCCCAGTCCAGCAGTTCCTGGACTAGAATCTTCCTGTGGCTCAGCCTGTGGACTTGGGTTTCCCCAGAGCTATCAAGTGTATGTGTAGCCAGGGCATCCAACAGGCTGACTTGAGCAGAATACCCAGCCTGGTCTCCCTGTCAGAAGGATGCCAGCTCCAGCCTCAGCCATTGGGACCAGCTCTTCCACCAAGGGGACTTTATAGACATCTGTCACTTCTTCAACTTTGATTCCTGTTGTGTCTCACCCTTAAGGGACTCTTACTTGGGTCTTACCTGGACTCAGATATGTACCATCTGCATTCCCTGGTGTCTGCATGGACACTCAACCTGCCAGAGTCAACTCTGAGATTTGTGGTTTTGACAAACAGTATTCACCACTAAGGAAGGTCACCTCAACTTAGAGCCTAAGAAAGAAATGTCTGCTTGTTTCTAGGAGCCATTTAGATAGTTATGGAGCTAGAACGTTACAAAAATCTAATGCTTTTAAATAAAAATTTTCTAATATTTTTAAGCTCCCTAAAGAATTACTGGTTCACAAAGAAGCCTGCAAACCACAGGACCACGGTCATGAGGTAGGGAGAGACTGGGGCCCCGTTGACCTCTCTGCTCTGTGGCCCTCGACAGGATGGAAGGAGCAGTGAAGTTTAAAAGAGTTACCGTTTGTCAACTGACATCACTTTCACTCAAATGACATCTCTGCTTGGTGCTCATTGTGTAGAGGTGGTGCATGGAACCAGAGTAAAACAGATGGCAGCTCTGCTGGCCTGGTGCATCCCAGGAGAAGTGGGAGCTGCAGTGAATCTCCCCAAGTTTCACCCAAAGTCCCCTCACCCCTCCCAGGTGAGAAGCAGCCAGGTGACACATTCCTAGCCTTATGTTAGTTGCATATCTTCTTTCTGATGCAGACAGGGAGACAGGACAGGGAAGAGCAGCATAGAGCACAGTCATTGTGGGTCCCCTAACACTGCCCACTCAGAATAACAAGGCGCTAATGAACCCTTCTTCAAAATGCCATCACTCCCAAAGAGCATGTTAAATATGTGAATTAGTATCAGGGGAGTCATTCATTGTCAAACCCTAGGGAATTTGCATATTTAGCTGATCCCTGGGAACTGGGCAGAGGTGGTTGGTACCGATATCCAGACCTCAGGCACCTTCTCTGATGATCAGAGATGGAGCTTTCCTACCATAACTTTGCTGCACGCTGGGGTCCTGGATCCTTCCAGGAATGTGAAGCAGAGGAGAAGGTATGAAATAGTTATCCGCAGTAGTGGGAGAGTGAATGGGCCAGACAGCACCAGAGCCTCACTGGACTGACTTGAGGTTAAAGGCCATGAATTTGGCCATCAAAGTGGAGGGTTTTTTTGTTTTTTTTTGTTTTTTTTCCAGCCATGGTCAGCCATGCTTCTGAAGGTGGGAGTAGTAGGCAAAGAGTTGATCTTGGCTGGGCTTGCCGTTTACTGAGTAAGCCCAAAGAAGGGAGCTGTGAGTGTATGGCAAAGATTGATTATAACAAAGGGCCATGGAACTTAAACAGCATGCAATATGAAAAGATGTGAAGATAAATTCAGGTTGGATTCCCGACCTGTGAGTTGTGTGATGTTAGAAAAATTCCCTAAGTTCTCCAACTCTCTTTCCTCATCTGCGAGGCATCAAAGCACCCGCTTCCATGGGGTCGTTATGAGCATAAAGGATGAAGTCTGGGGGCAAGTGCTTCCAGTCTGTAAGGTGCCCTGGAAATGGTGGGTATGGCTTGGGGGTGTGAGTGTGGCATTACAGGCGGTTCGTGTGCACGAATGTTGACTGGAGCATCCCCAGGCAGCACTGAGCTGGGGTCTGAGCTCCTGTGGTCACTCCGCTTTCCCTGGCTCCTCTCCTCCTGCAAAGCCACCTGGAGCTACCCCCTCCCTGGGAGGCCCTCATGGGCATCTCAGATGTTCTCACAAACACATCTGCTCTTGCTCAGCTTGGCTGCTGCTGCAATGGACCCCCCAGGTACTTTTCTGCTCTTCTAGTCAAAAGGCCAGCGATCAGAGCCTGGCCTTATGGCCCCTCAGGATGAAGTGGGGATGGAGTTCCTCCCAGGCACCTCCTCAGACTTCCATCAACAGGTTCAGAAAGGTCTGCCCAAACCCCTCAGGCTCTGTGCAGAGACACCTGCAGGGCTACCCCACCGTCCTCCAGGCCTACTTCTCTGTCTGTACGTGCCTTTGAATTGCAGGGCAGGAGTCATGCCTTTGCATGTGGCCAGCCAAGCCTCAGCTTCCTGTCACCTCCTCTCCTGCACCTAAGGTGCAGAGTCCTATGGACAAAAACCATCAAAAATGACCCTCTTCTGCCCCTGTGGAGTGACAGGCTCCAAGCCCACCCCCTGCACCTCCTGGTGCTCTCACCTAGGTCCCCCCCGGCTCTTCCCACCTGTACAGCAGCTATTTATTACCTCAGACCTCCACCCCAGCGCCTTTCCCCCTTCCCCTGCCCAAGGTGGATCACTGCACATGAATCCGGACTTCTCAGAGACGTGTGTCCACTAACTATCCCCTCCCTCTTTCAGGGTTGCACCCCTCTCTGTGGGTGCCTTCCCACAGTGTCTCAATAAGCTCCAGACAATTCCATCAGTGTCTCAAGCTCACGTAATAAGCTCAAGTCTTGTCCACCTTAAAAATCAAAACCAAACCTCGACCTTTTCATTTCACCCAGCAGAGCAGTCTTCCTGTTCCTGGGGCGATGAGACAGACTCACCCACGCAGCACCCGGAGTTGGGACTTCAATTTATGCTGACACCTCCCAAGTCATTGACTCCTTCCCACATCTCTTCCAAACCACCATCCTACAGGCTGGTTGCCTGCTGGATGTGACTGCACAGACATCTTGCACGCACATCAAAACCTGGTTTCAAAACCAGGTTTCTCCCCTTTCCTCACATAAAAGCACCCCATCATACTTTCCCCAGCATGACCCTCTCGCTGGTGTACACCATCGTCCTCACCATTGCCAAGACCCCCAAGCCCTTCTCTGGATTATTTCGTGAGCCTGCCATCCCACTCTGTGATTGCTGCCGAGGTCCCCTCTCACCTGGCCTGTCGGCCGCAGCGTCCTTGTGCCCTCCTTCCTCAGCCAGGGGCACGCTCAATCCCATCCTGCAGTGCAGAGGAAACAGGCAGCTCTCCAAATCCCATCAGGCCTCTCCCTGCTCAAAAGACATCGATGGCCCTTCAGCCACATAAGGATAAAGTGCAAGCTGCCACCTCTCCACACCCGCAGTCTGTGCTCCAGGGGCTGAGAACACCATTCAGCTCCTGGAAGGTATTGTGCCCTGCTCCTCCAGTCGCTTGCAGAAGCCGCTTGCCCTGCCTAACACTCTCACCTCCGCTCCTCCCTCTGCCCCTTCCTGCAGCCCTGAACTTAGATCTCACTTTTGCACTGGGACTCCTCCTCAGGACTTCCACGGCCTCATTCACATCACCAGTTACAGCATCATTCCCGCCTTAACTGCCAGTTCACCTGCCAGTCTCTCCCACAGCCTGTGAGCCACATCGGCGAAGACGGCATCTCTTGTTTTGTGTAATTTTGACTCTCTGGTTAGTCCCAACAATTTGTGGAGTGCCTGCGTGGGTGTGTGGATGGCTGGAGCTCAGGCTGGTCTGATCCCCAGCAGGGACCCAACTTGCTTTCTCTAAGACACCCCGCAGCCCTTGCACAAATGTTCTGGTTTCCAGTCGAATGTGCCCTTCCAGCTCACCAGACACCTGTGCCAAGGTGGAGTTCAGCTTTTCTTCCCACAGAGTGAGCAGGGGCATGTGGCCACCCTTTACTTACTTTGATACAGTAATGGACTCCCTCCCATTGTAGCCATTCTCTTCCTTTTGTCCAAAACAAATTTCCTTCTGATGTGGCCCAATTTCAGCACTTCTCACTCCCCCAAGGCCCTTTTTCCATCAGTTATACCCCCAGCCTCTTCTCCTTCTCCATTTCCACCCTGCTTGAAAACATGTCCTGCATGCCCCTCTGAAAAAACTCCTAGGTGACCCTTTCATGCCCCCAAGTTGTTGCCTTATTCCTTACTTTTTTTTTTTTTTTTTTGAGATGGAGTCTGGCTCTTGTTGCCCAGGCTGGAGTGCAATGGCGTGATCTCGGCTGACGGCAACCTCTGCCTCTCAGGTTCAAGTGATTCTCCTGCCTCAGCCTCCCCAGTAGCTGGGATTACAGTCATGCACCACCACGCCTGGCTAATTTTGTATTTTTAGTAGAGATGGATTTTTCTCCATGTTGGTCAGGCTGGTCTTGAACTCCCGACCTCAGGTAATCCACCCACCTCAGCTTCCCAAAGTGCTGGGATTACAGGCTTGAGCCACCATGCCCGGCCCCTCATTCTTGACCAGAGGTCTCAAGATGAGTGACCTACATCTGCCACATCGTTTCTTCTTTGCCCACTTGATCTGCACAGCTGGCTACAGCCCCACACTGCCAGGGCCAGCCTGTTCCTTCCCCTCATGCTGCTGGGTGGCTCCTAAAGGGCAGTGTGGGTGCATGGGTTGTAGGACTGTACAGTCGTAGATTCAAATTCCAGCTGTGCATGTGTCTGGCTAAGCCACCTGGTGCTGGTCACTTTCTGTTTATGAGCCTCGGTTTCCTCATCCGTAAACTTGGGCAGATAGTAGTTCCTCGCACAGAGTTGCATAGAATTAATGAAATAATGCATTCATGTGCACACTATGTGTTCCCCATGGTCATCCTGACCCCGTTCTACTTCTTAAAGCCCTCTCCGTACTAGAACTTCAGTGACGCTGCACTAGCTCAGTGTGGCTTACAGCCTCTCTTTTGTCCCTCTTAACGCACTGAGGCCGGCTAACATTGATGGAACCCTTCCTATGAACCAAGCAACATCCCGCCATTTTACTTTATCAATTTATGTAGCTTTTGCTATAGATACTATAATAGTACCCACTTAACAGATGGAGGTATTAAGGCACAGGGAAGGTGATAATGACCCAGGAACACACAAGCAACAAGGGACAGAACAAATCCCGGCAGTTTGGCTCAAGCCCCCATGCTGTCTCCAGTTCTCTGAGTGATCCAGGGTCTTTGGCTTCTCTTTCCTCCTCAAGCAACTCTCTCTTTCCCTGATCATTTATTCACACAACTTGGTGCGTTTATTTCATAAATCTCAGTGCCCGACTCACTTCGCCCTTCTCAGTTTGCCCTAAACCCCCCAGACTGGCTGGCCACCTCCTCCTGACGCCCTGCCTTCATCTCAGGTCCAGAGAACCCAAACTTACGTTAAGCTCCTTCCTGTCTTTGAGGAATGTGATTCTGCAGCTCTATCAGCAAATTTCACTCAGCCCTACGAGGCAGTTTCTTGTGAGCTTGCCTGTGTCCTGTATTAGACAAGCTACCAGAAGACAAGACCCTGTCCTTGTGTGCCAATCTCTGCCTCCGGCATTGTAAAGGCAGATGAAACTCTCTCTCAGATCATATTCCCTTCCCATTTCTGTTTCTGCTCAGGGAGCTATTATGTGTACTTTCTTCCTGCCTCTGAAATTCTTCCCTTGCCTCATGCCACCTGACATCCGTCTCTCACATCCCATCCCCTCTGGTCAGGGCTGACTTCCAACCTTCTCAGATTCCTCACAGTTCCCCCATTCCAACTGCCAACTGTCACCCTGGCCCCAGCCTGTCACTGCTTGACCATCATGATGGCCACCCTACCTTCCCCTTATTTTTATTTTTTAATTTTTGTGGGTACATTATAGGTGTCCCCCCATATATGTATTTACAAGGTCAGGAGATGTTTTGATACAGGCATGCAGTGAGTTACGATCACATCATGGAGAATGGGGTATCCATCCCCACAAGCACTTATCCTTTGTGTTCCAAACAGTCTATTTATGCTCTTTCAGTTATTTTTAAATGTACAATTAAATTATTATTGACTCTAGTCACCCTGTTGTGCTATCAAATACTAGGTCTTATTCATTCTTTTAAACTATTTTATGTACCCATTAACCATCCCTACCTACCCTTCACACCCTCAGTATCCTTCCTAGCCTCTGGTAATTATCCTTCTACTTTCTATCTCCATGAATTCAATTTTTTTTTTATTTTTAGATCTCACAAATAAGTGAGAACATGTGATGTTTGTTTTTCTGTGCCTTGTTTATTTCATTTAACATAATGATCTCCAGTTCCATCCATGTTGTTGCAAATGACTGGATCTCATTCTTTTTTATGGCTGAATAGTACTCAATTGTGTATATGTACCACATTTTCTTTATCCGTTCATCTGTTGATGGACACTTAGGTTGCTTCCAAATCTTGGCTACTGTGAACAGTGCAACAACAAACATGACAGTGCAGATATCTCTTTAATATACTGATTTCCTTTCTTTGGGGTATATACCTAGCAGTGGGATTGATGAATCATATGGTAGCTCTATTTTTAGTTTTTTGAGGAAGCTTCAAACTGTTCTCCATAGTGATTGTACTAATGTACATTCCCACCAACAGTATACGGGGGTTCCCTTTTCTCCACATCCTCACCAGCATTTGTTATTGTCTGTCTTTTGTATAAAAGCCATTTTAACTGGGGTGAGATAACATCTCATTGTAGTCTTGATTTGCATTTCTCTGATGATTAATGATGTTGAGCACGTTTTCATATGCCTGTTTGCCATTTGTATGTCTTTTTTCGAGAAATGTCTATTCACATCTTTTGCCCATTTTTGATCAGATTATTAGATTTTTTTTTCTCCAGAGTTGTTTGAGCTTCTTATATATTCTGGTTATTAATCCCTTGTCAGATGGGTAGTTTGCAAATATTTTCTCCCATTCTGTGGGTTATCTCTTCACTTTGTTGATTGTTTCATTTGCTGTGCAGAAGGTTTTTAACTTGACGTGATCCCATTTGTCCATTTTTGCTTTGGTTGTCTGTGCTTGTGGAGTATTGCTCCAGAAATTTTTGCCCAGACCAATGTCCTGGAGATTTTCCCCAATGTTTTCTTATAGTAGTTTCATAGTTTCAGGTCTTAGATTTAAGTCTTTAATCCATTTTGATTTGATTTTTGTATATGGAAGGAGAAATGGGTCTAGTTTCAGCCTTCTGCCTATGGATATCCAGCTTTCCCAGCATCATTCACTGAAAAGAGTGTCTTTTCCCCAGTGTATGTTCTTGGGGCCTTTGTCAAAAATGAGTTCAATGTAGGTGTGTGGATTTGTTTCTGGGCTCTCTATTCTATTCGACTGGTCTATGTGTCTGTTTTTATGCCAGTGCCATGTTGTTTTGGTTACTATAGCTCTGCAGTATAATATGAAGTCAGGTAATGTGATTCCTCCAGTTTTGTTCTTTATCTCAGAACAGCTTTGGCATTCTGGGTATTTTGTGGTTCCATATAAACTTTAGGATGTTTTTTTTTTTTTTTCTATTTCAGTGAAGAATGTCTTGAAATAGACATTATTGGGTATTTTAATAGGGATTGCATTGAATCTATAGATTGCTTTTGATAGCATGGACATTTTAATGATATTGATTCTTCCAATACATGAACATGGAATATCTTTCCATTTTTGGGGTATTCTTCAATTTCTTTCATCAATGCTTCATGGTTTTCATTACAGAGATCTTTCACTTGTTTGGTTAATTCCTAGGTATTTAGTTTTATGTGTGGCTATTGTAATGGGATTACTTTTTAAATTTCTTTTTCAGATTGTTCACTGTTGACATATAGGCATGCTACTGATTTTTGTATGTTGATTTTATAGTCCTGCAACTTTACTGAATTTGTTTATCAGTTCTAATAGTTTTTTGTGGAGTCTTTAGGTTTTTCCAAATGTAAGATCATATCATCTGCAAAGAAGGATAATTTGACATCTTACATTCCAATTTGGATGTCCTTTATTTATTTCTCTCGTCCGATTGCTCTAGCTAGGACTTCCAGTACTATGTCAAATAGCAGTGGTGAAAGTAGGCACCCTTATCATGTTCTTGATCTTAAAGACTTTCAGTTTTTCCCCATTCAGTATGATATTAGCAGTGGGTTTGTCATATATGGCATTTATTATGTTGAGGTATGTTCCTTCTATACCCAGTTTTTTGAGGGTTTTTATCACGAAGGGATGCTAAATGTTATCAAAAGCTTTTTCAGCATCAGTGGAGTGATCATATGGTTTTTATCCTTTATTCTCTTGATACGATGTATCACATTGATTGATTTGCATATGTTGAACGATCCTTGCATCCCAAGGATAAACCCCATTTGGCCATGATGAATTATCTTTCTAATGTATTTTTTAAGTTGGTTTGCTAGTATTTTCTTGAGGATTTTTTACATCGATATTCATCAGATATTGGCCCATAATTTTCTCTTTTGGATATGTCTTTTTCTGGTTTTAGTATCAGGTTAATACTGGCCTCATAGAACAAGTTTAGAAGTATTCCTTTCTCCTCTATTTTTTGGAAAAGTTTGAGTAGGATTAGTATTAGTTCTTTTTTCTTTCTTTTTTCTTCTCTCTTTTTTTTTTTTTTTTTTTTTGAGACAGGGTCTCACTCTGTCAATTAGGCTGGTGTGCAGTGCCGTGATCTTGGCTCACTGCAACCTCCGCCTCCACCTTCTGGGTTCAAGCAGTTCTCCCACCTCCAGCTCCCCAGTAGTGGGACTGCAGTATTTTGCCACCACACCTGGCTAATTTTTATATTTTTTTTTGGTAGAGATGAAATTTCACCATGTTGGCCAGGCTGGTCTTGAACTCCTGACTTTAAGTGATCCACCTTCCTCTGCCTTCCAAAGTGCTGGGATTACAGGCATGAACCACCACACCTGGCTGGTATCAGTTCTTCTTTAAATGTTTGGTAGAATTCAGCAGTGAAGCCACTGAGTCCCGGGCTTTTCTTTACTGGGAGAGTTCATTACAGCTTTGATCGCATTACTTGTTGTTAGTCAGTTCAGGTTTTTTATTTCTTTCTGGTTCAATATTGGTAGGTTGTATGTGTCTAGGAATTTGTCCATTTCTTTTAGATTTTCCAATTTGTAGGCATATAGTTGCTCATAGTAGCCACTAATGATCCTTTGAATTTCTGCAGTATCAGTTGTAATGTCTCCTTTTTCATTTCTGATTTTATTTATTTGGATCGTCTCTCTTTTTTTTTTTTTGTAGGCTGGCTAAAGGACTGTCAATTTTGTTTAGATTCGCTTATCTTTACCTTTGAGCACTAATTCTAATCTGACTGGTAGCAGCAAATGGTTATACAAAGATATGAGGGTATTTCTTGTGTTCCTTCTTTATTTTGAAATTGTGGCTCTGGGCTGCTGGCCTCAGATGGATTCCCACAGCTGGATGTTCTCATTCCACAGGATCCAAATTCCAGCCCAGGCCTCAACCCTTCACATCTTGATAGTCACAGTAGTACCCATGACTCTTTCACAATTTAAGACCTTTACTGTATATTTGAAGATACAATTACAAAAATAAATCTGCATGCAAAATAAAGTGTGTCTTTTGGGAACAACAAAATGGGCCTATATAATCAACCTCTCAGTTTAAAAATAAATGTTGAGTACCTCCTACATGCCAGTCACTGTTCTGTATAGAGCTGTGAACAAAATGGACAAAGTCCCAGCTCTCATGGAAATGATGTGTGTGGGTGCTGGAGTAGCATGAACAATGAGTACACAGATGACATGTCCATCCCTGAGTGGGCAGAGTTCTAGAAACTATCAAAAACTGAGATGACCTGCCTGTGTGCTGACTTCTCTCTCCTTCTGGAAGTAAGCTTTGATGAAAAAGAACACGAACTAAAAATGTTACGAATGTTCAACACACCCATTCCTCCCTTTGAAGGCTAAGATGAATTGGATCAAATCTTGAGAGGAGTAATTTTAACTGCCATGTCCCAGGGAACAGCTCGGTCCCCAGAGGCTGCTCTTGTCTTCAGACCTTATCTTACCCAAAGCCTCTCCCAAAGAGTATCTGAGTTACAAAGAAAACAAGTTTTGCTTCAGCCCCTGCCATGGCCTAGCAGTATATTTTACTACTTTTTGTCTCCCTAGATTTGCCTATTCTGGATTCTTCGTATAAATGGAATCATACAATAGGTGGCCTTTTGTGTCTGACTTCTTTTACTTAGCATAATGTTTTCAAGGTTTATTCCTGTTGTAGCATATTCAGTACTTCATTCATTTTTATTGCCAAATAATATTTCATTGTATAGATATACCAAGTTTTGTTTATCCACTCATTCACTGATGGACATTTAGGTTGTTTCTACCTTTTGATTATTAGGAACAGAGCTGCTATAAATATTATTAAAAACTTGCATGTATTTATGCAAGTTTTTGTGTGGACATATGTTTTTAATTATCTTGGGTATGTACCTAGGAGTAAAATTGCTGGATCATATAGCAACTCAATATTTAACTTTCCAAGACACCAAGAATCTGTTTTCCAAATGGTTGCACCATTTTACAATCTGATCAGTAACGTATAAGGGTTCCAATTTCTTCACATCCTCACCAACATTTGTCATGAGCATCTGCTCTTTTCTTCCCCAAATCATCTTTTTTCTCAGATCCCTCACTTTTTGCTCTGGCTCATAAAATACCTCTAAGTGTTGTTGAAATGCCAAGATTAATTTGAATCAAAGCTTGGGCCCTCGCGTGGGGAAAGAGAACCCGACAAGGTTCCTGCTTTTGTATTTGCTCTTCTGACTCACGCCCACCAAAAACCTCATTGCTCACTTTCCACATCAGGTATTCTTCATCAGATTCAAGCTCTGTTAGAGATTGTCTCTGAGAGACACCCACCATCTGTCTTTTTGAAGTCAAGCTTATATTTTCTGAACAAAAGAAAATCCAGCTTTAAGCTTCTCCAGCTCTGGTTAGCTTCATTCAGGACTCTTTCTCCTCTTAGTGTTTTACAAAAGACCTTGTCCAATGTTGAGCTATTTCCAATCTCTTTTTCCTAGTGTCTTCTTCTTTCTCTTTTCCTGTGTTTTTAATCTGCAGATTTTCTCCTTGCATTTGGTTGATTCTTCAAGCCTTGTGATTGCATCTTTATGTCTAGTCACTTCCTCGGAGACTTTGTTTTCTACGCTGGTACTTCCAAATAAGGTCTTTATTGCTCTAACTTATCTTCATACTGCTAATATAATTAGAACTTCTTCGCTTTATTTAAAAATATCTTTAAACTGTTCCTCAGTGACTAGATATCATTTTATCTTGAAGACAAGAGGCTTCCCCAGAAGAAATTGACACCCTGCATTGCAGGCTTCCAGACCATTTTAAGAAAAACAATCCCTCCTAAGGTCTTTAGACAGGGGGTTCAGGATGATGGAGACTGTACCCATGTCCAGCATAAAGGATGGAGGGGAAGGAATATTAACCAAAGCAGCCTTGATGCCAGGCCCCAGTCTGTTAAGAAGAAAATTTTTTGAAAGTTCCCCAATTCACATTGGAGCCACATTCAACATGCTTTATAGGTGTTGAAACAATCTCAGAGGGGCTGACTGACTGGGTCTGTCTGACTCTAAAGTTCTTTCTGTTGCAACTTGCTGCCTCCCCAAGTGAGACAATGGGAAGCTGAGCTCTAAGTTGTGGGGTTTCCACAATCATCATGAAATACCAACCAAATATATGTATATATGCATATATAATGGTGTATGATATATATTGCATGATGAAAAGATGACTTTTTTTTTTTTTAAAGCTAAAAGTCCCTGAATAAATCTTACAGGGAAATTTTAAGAGTTCAGTGAAAAAATTAGTGTTTGTAAAATGCTTAACACAGAGCTTGGTCCACAGAAAGTGCTCAATAAAAGGAGCTGCTATATACTATTATTAATAACTATTATTAATCCTCCTCATCATCATTGTCAAAACAAGGCTCGCAGACTTAAACTGCACATATGTTATAAGAAAAGGTGCTAAAACCCGAATCCTGGACTATTAGCTACATATGCTACTATCTTTCAACTAAACTGTACGGCTCTTACTGGGTAAATGTAGCCAAGTAAAACATGGTCTTCTGATTAGTGTAGGTAATATGTTCATTTTAAGATAGCGTCAAATCCATGATCAGTCTCCGTGCAGAGAACAAGCCCTCTCTGCGTTGCATTTGGGAAGGGGCCTCCCTTGCTGTTCTGCGGGGCTGGCTGGATCTTGTTCTCCTCTCCGAGTTGGAGGACCCCATTCCTGAGCAGCCGCTGGACGAAACCCGGCCCTGGGATCCCGCGAGGTCCCCGGGAGGCGCCTCAAAAGCCAGCCTGGAGCCCCGCAGCGGGGCGGAGGAGAATTTTGGGCCCGGGCTTGGGTCCCCGTACCCCGGGCATCACCTAATATCACCACCCCTCTCCCCGGGTCCCCACAAAGGCATCAAGCCAGGCCCCTCGTCACTGCCTCCACTGCGCCCTCCTGTCCCTCCTCCTTTCCTCGCCTTCGCGCGGGACGAAGTGGCCGGCGATGTCCCGAAAGCGGGGCGTCGGTGCCTCCCCCTCGGCGCCCCAGCTCGGCTCGCGGTGACCCTGCAGCCCAGGGCCGCAGCCAGGGACTCCCCACACCGAGCCTCCAAAGAGCCAGGCTTCGAAAGCTGCCCGTCCCTGTCAGCGCGGCAGGCGGTCCCGGAGCCAGGTCCCAGCGCCTCCCAAGGCGGGGGGAGGGGGCGGCCCCCACACCTGGACCCGCGGACACCTGGGCGGAACCCCAAGCCGCAGCGATAGAACGGCCCTTTGGAAATCAGATTACCTGGATCCTGGTTTTCTCCGCATTCATTTCCCTTCTTGTTCCCGAGTTCCACCAAGAGGAATTGAGTTCTGCCCCTTTCAGCGGCGCAACTGGGTTAACTGGGGAGCTCTGGACCCTATGATCTCGGCATCTTCATGGCCATGCTTATAACCCATGTTGCTTTGAGTTTACATGTCATCTTGGCATTTGCTAAGGTCCTATTCGAACTTTTCAGTCTTGAGGCAGACTCCTTAGAAGGAGTTAAGAGAATAGCAAGGGTAAGCAGTGCCCCTGTGTGGCCAAAATGGTGGTGGCAGGAAAACCAATGAGAAAACACAAAGGCAAATCCACGAATATGAGGGTCAGCTCTAGGTTTGGCCTCCCCTTTACAAGTTTCTTCTGCACTTTCCACTCCAGAAAGCCTGGCTTTGATTTTGTTTTGGACATGGCAATTTATACTCACTTTTTATCCGGTTATTCTCTCACTTCATGTGGATTGGAGCCCCAGATGTGCCCAGTCTCAGATTCGAGTCTGTCCTAGCCATAGAACACCAGTTCCCTCAAGGAGAGAGGTGGAGTCAAGATCAGGACCAACAGGACATCAGAGTTCAGGGCTGTCTGATGAATTCAAGGAGATTCTTATTTAATCCATTTTCCATAGGAAACATCGACTCCTGGAAGAAGTTGGTGTGGGCTGCCTGGGAAAGGAGGTTTAGCATCATATGTGGGCTGGTGGTGGTGTGCTCTGGCTAACTTAACATCAAGGGATAGGGAGGTTCTGTCCTCAGACCCAACTGAGTTCCCATCATCCCCCACACCATGCCACCCATCAGTGAGTACAACCTGTAGGGATGCCCTGGAGGCCAAACTTCCCCTAAGTGCTGGGCTTTCAGCTTCTCTTCCCAGAACATCAGACTGACTTAGCTTTGGAATAACTTGGAATTGCAGACTGAGCATTCTGAGAATTCTGGTGATGTTGCAGGGTAACCTGAAATGGGCTGCCCTCCAGTGGGGTTATTGGGCAGAGTAAGGGTCAGGATGGAAGTCTGCCACTTTAGCTGAGGCCAATTTATTATTCATTTATTTATTTATTTAGAGACAAATTCTCGCTCTGTCACCCAGGCTGGAGTGCAGTGGTGCGATCTCAGGTCACTGCAACTTCCACCCACCAGGCTCAAGTGTTCTCATACCTCAGTCTCCCGAGTGGCTGGGACTACAGGCATGCACCACCACGCCTGGCTAATTTTTGTATTTTTAGTAGAGACAGTGTTTTGCCATGTTGGACAGGCTGGTCATGAACTCCTGGCCTCAAATGATCCACCAGCCTCAGCCTCCCAATGTGCTGGGCTTACAGGCATGAGCCACCGCACCCAGCCAAGAAATTTAAGTACATTTTCCTTCTATTTATATTTTGTAAGGGGCAGAACCAGGATTTGGACCCAGGTGTCTAACTCTGGAAGCTAAAAGCTTTCCATTATAACAAGTTGCCTCACCTGAGCCCGACTTAAAATCAGGTGATCTCAGCTATACTGGACTCCAACAGGAGTCATTGCTATTTTCTTGCTGTTGTATTTTATTCAAGTTTAGAAAAAGAAATAGCCAAAAAGCTCAGGCAAGGAGCAGACAAGACACAAAGAACTCTGAGTTCTGCCTGGGGAAGGAGCAGGGGACATGAGTCACCTTCCCCTCTAGACACAGTACTGCAATAGGATAATCCTCTCCCAACTTCCAAATAGAAGTGGCCAAATTTAGTGGCAGGAGGAGCTAGGGGCAATGTGATTGCGACTCCCACCTCTATCCAGAGAACTGGCCCTAAAGCATCTCACCTGCTGTTTCACCGAGAGGCTCGTGGTCTCCAGCATCACCCAAGAGCTTCTTAGTAATACAGAATCTTAGGCCCCACACCCAACCCACTGAATCAGAATGTGCATTTTAACAAGATCCCCAGGTGATCCTCATGTACATTACAGTTGGAGAAGTGCCTAGAACTTGACCCTTCACCTCGTTATAACTCAGTAACTTCACTTGTGAATCAGGCACAATAGCACCTGCTTGACTCACCACTCCTGGCTGTATGAGGATCAGAGAGGACAATGTAGGAAGTTAGAGGCAGAGGTGTTCAGGAAGTTATCTCTCGTGCCCCCTCTACCTTCTCCACTGCCATGGAAGCCTAATCTCTCTCTCAGAGGGAGAAGACTAGCAGGTGGCTCTTCTCTGGAAGAGCAGAGGAAATCAGGGACCCTCAACAGCCCATCCTCCATGGCCCCTGGGGGAATCTCTGAAGATTCTAGCTTTTCAACTGAAAGTTAGGCTGTAATTGACACTGTGTAATCCAGTAGACGGAATTTTGCAGAAATAAATATGAAGCTTATATTTGGGTTTTTAAAAAATCAAATTAGGCTGGGTGCTGTGGCTCACGCCTATAATCCCAGCCCTTTGGGAGGCCGAGGCAGGTGGATCACCTGAGGTCAGGAGTTTGAAACCAGCCTGGCGAACGTGGAAAAACCCCATCTTTACTAAAAATACAAAAATTAGCCAGGCATAGTGGTGCATACCTGTAATCCCAACTACTCAGGAGGCTGAGACAGGAGAATCTCTTGAACTTGGGAGGCAGAGGGTGCAGTGAGCAGAGATCGCACCACTGCACTCCCGCCTGGGTGACAGGGCAAGACTCTGTCTCAAAAAAAAAAAAATCAAATTATATAACAAATTATTCATGTGTGTATATATATATATATAGATATTAGGTTGGTACAAAAGTAATTGCGGTTTTTGCATTGTTAGAATTTTCCGTTTGATATTGGAATAAAACATAAGGCAAGAAAAGATAAAATTAAGAACATAATTCTTATTTACATTTAAGAATGTAAATAAATGTGGTTACCGTATACATCATTTTAATGGGCATTTCTCGCTTTATGTTTTTTTGCTAGTTTATTTTATGTTTATTTTAGACTATGGAAATGATGTTAGACAAAAAGCAAATTCGAGTGATTTTCTTATTTGAGTTCAAAATGGGTTGTAAGGCAGCGGAGACAGCTCGCAACATCAGCAGTGCGTTTGGCCCAGGAACTGCTAACAAACATACAGTGCGGTGGTGGTGCAAGAAGTTTTGCAAAGGAGACAAGAGCCTTGAAGGTGAGGAATGTAGTGGCCAGCCGTCGGAAGCTGACAATGACTAATTGAGAGCCATCACTGAAGCTCATCCTCTTACAACTACATGAGAAGTTGCCGAAAAACTCAGCGTCGACCATCCTACTGTTGTTCGGCACTGAAAGCAAATTGGAAAGATGAAAAAGCTCGATAAGTGGGTGCCTCATGAGCGGAGTGAAAGTTTAAAGAAAAAACATCGTTGTGAAGTGTCGTCTTCTCTTATTCTACGCAACAGCAACGAACCATTTCTCAATCGGATTGTGATGTGCGCCGAAAAGTCGATTTTATACGACAACTGGCGATGACCACCTCAGTGACTGGACCCAGAAGAAGCTCCAAAGCACTTCCCAAAGCCAAATTTGCGCCAAAAAAAAGGTCATGGTCACTGTTTGGTGGGCTGCTGCTGGTCTGATCCACTATAGCTTTCTGAATCCCAGAGAAACCATTACATCTGAGAAGTATGCTCGGCAAATCGATGAGCTGCACCAAAAACTGCAATGCCTGCAGCCGGCACTGGTCAACAGAAAGAGCCCAATTCCTCTCCACGACAATGCCCAGCCGTATGTCACACAACCAACACTTTGAACAAAAGTTGAAGGAATTGGGCTACACAGTTTTGCCTTATCCGCCATATTCACCTGACCTCTCGTCGACTGACTACCACTTCTTCAAGCATCTCGACAACTTTTTGCAAGGAAAACGCTTCCACAACCAGCAGGATGCAGAAAATGCTTTCCAAGAGTTCAAATGTTGAAGTATGGATTTTTACACTACAGCAATAAGCAAACATTTCTCATTGGTAAAAATGTGTTGATTGTAATGGTTCCTATTCTTACGAATAAAGATGTGTTTGAGCCTAGTTATAATGATTTCAAATTCATGGTCTGAAATTGCAATTACCTTTGCACCAACCATATATATATATAATGTATTTCTAATAAAACATTTTTCCTGCTCTTTCTCCAGTGCCTAGAATAGTGCCTGGCACATAGTAGGGGCTCGGTAAAATTTGCTGAACTAATGAATGGGCTCTATGAATCTTATCAATGTTCTAAATGCTAGCATTTTATAGATAAGGAAACTGAAACATCAAAAAGTTAACTTCCATAAGTCCCACAGCTAATTTCTTTATCTGTAAAATGGGCGTATAAATATTGCCTTTCTCATTATTATGGGGAGCAAATGAATTACCATATAACACCTTAGGGAGTGTGTCTGGCTCAGTGTTCGTGCTCACAACTGTCTATGGGCTGGGCGCAGTGGCTCATGCCTGCAATCTCAGCACTTTGGGAGGCCGAAGCAGGTGGATCACAAGGTCAGGAGTTCGAGACCAGTCTGGCCAACATGGTGAAACCCTGTCTCTACTAAAAAATACAAAAATTAGCCGGGTGTGGTGGTGGGCACCTGTAATCCCAGCTACTTGGGAGGCCGAGGCAGGATAATCGCTTGAACCTGGGAGGCAGAGGTTGCAGTGAGCCAAGATCGTGCCATTGCACTCCAGCCTGGGTGACTAGAGTGCAATCGACTCAGCCTCCCAAAGTGCTGGGATTACAGGCGTGAGCCACCAAGACCAGCCCTAAAAATTCCTTTCCATTGATGCTTCCACTCAAGCTACCATCCCATTTTTCTCCTTTTACCATCTTTTAAAACTCCTTTTCAAAAAAGTAGATCTGAAAATTAATCTATGTTGTTAGAAGTAAATAAATCAATTATTCATCAAGCTATATATATTTATGTGCACTTTGAAATATATACATATACATATTACTTTACTGAAAAATTAAGAGAGAGAGTAGCTTAACTAACCTCCTCTTCTCTAGTTTTCCTTCCCTCCTCTCCCATTCAATCATTATTCTCCCTTGCAAATTGGCTTCCATGCACAGTGTCAAAACTGTGGCCCCTGCCACATCTCAGCTTCCTCACTATACACTGTCACCATGCTGTCCTGACATTCTCCTGTCTCCAGTGTCCACTCGATGGTTCGAGTTCTTTGTCCACTTTATGAGTCTTGCTTTTCATAGGGCTATATACACCTCTGCGGCCTTTCCTTGCTGTCTCTGCCTGCTAATGTTCTGCCCCTTTGTCGAGATCTAACTCAATTCTGCCCCCTTGTCAAGATCTAGCACCTTCTCCTGGAAGTCTTCTCTGGTTTCCCTAATTCTACATCATCATTGCTCACTTAGCACTTTGGGATAGTGCCACTTGTGGGCCAGGTACTGTCTGAGGTAATGGAAGACATTCAGCCCTGCATTAGTTATTGGTTTAATATTAAGTTTTGCTATTTGCATCACAAGAAATACAGACTCATTTAAGATTTACCTCAAGTACCTGAGGGTGTATAAGGGTGATGTCTTACCACCTTTCCATCTGAGAATTTGTCTTCTGGGAATAGAAAATAGTAATGGATTCTTGACCATTGTTTCTAAGCAAAGCATGCCAGAGCTCATGTCACCCTTTCTAGTAAGAAGTTGTGAGTTTGCACTGAAGAATTATAATCAAAATGCGTAAAGCTCCCTCCCCTACCTCCACTTAAAGTTCTTTAGGGATCCTTCTGGCTCATCTGCAAGCTCCCTAATTTAAGGGACAAGTCTTTTTTCCCTTAAAAAGTTTTCCTGGGTTTAACTCCTCCCCTTCTCCCACTTTCTGCAGAGTCAATGGATTTACCCTTGAGAAGATTCTGCCTTCTGTCCTGGGGCAAGTGATGAAAGTCTCCAGCTCCCAGTCTGACTCACGAGAGTAGACAGCCTTCTGCAGAAGTTGAATTATAGACTGTGGCCCCTCCCCTGTTTTCTACCAACAGTATGAATGAGCAACACCAGACTGGACCTCAAGAATGTTTCTCCAACTGGAATTTCTCTTCTCTGACAGAGACTTGAAAGCAGCTATAGTAAAATCTAGGCATGATGATCTATGTTGGGCACTGCACAAGCACTCCTCATTCAACAAGGTGCCGTTCATATCAGAGATGCTTTATTATTGTGATAATTTTTATATGTTTATTTTTATTTTGTTTATTGGAAAGATTGACGATTTGTATGTTTCTTACAACTTCCCGGCAGATGGCAGTAAAGTGTCTTGTTTTAAGATGTTTACTATATTTTGTTCAGAGTCCATTTACAAAGGAAAAATGAGTCAGTATTCGAAATCAACATGTCTAACATCATCTGAAAATAACTTTTACTTCTAAACAAGAAATCACTTTATCTATTGGTAGGTGAGTGTTTAAATGTTTTTTAAATCCCTATTGTTGTTAGAGCTCTGGCTAATTAATATTTCATACTGCATTTCACATTATCTGCTGTGTTCGCTGCACCCAAAAGCTATTCCTGAATTCCTCGTTTAAATCTACAAGAACTTTCATTATTAGATTAATCACCATCAAATGACATACACTCAGATAATCCACAAAATGAATTACATGCACATAAATTAGAGATTACCACTTCGTGATCTGGCTAGTTCTATAATGGAAATTGCTTGTTGTGCATATCCTGTTAATAAAAATATTAATGCTTGATAATATTTAGCAGTCTGTTAATTATATATTTTGTATGTTATGTACATGTAAGTTCCGAGATAAAATACCATTGATTTTTTGCTCAGATACTACAAAGGAGTTTTTAAAATTAATTTCAGAATCAGAAAACATGGAAGGAAATCAAAGACAATCAATTAGACTACTGAATATATTTTTGGAGAAGATAGAATCAGGAGGCAAAAAATGCTAAATTAGGATGTGGATTTAATTTCAATATTTATGTCAGACATAACTTGAGAAAAAAGTGGAAGAGAAAAAGAAAACATTAAACTAGATTTTCTTTTCCCTATCGAGGTACTTGGCTATGTAATTTGAATTTTTGTCCATAGAACACTCTATTTGAAATTTGTCTACAAAATGTATACATAAGAATTTTAACTTTCCATCGTATTTAACTACTATCAGTACAGGTAGGAAGTTTTCAGAAATTACTTATTCATAAATTTTTTTTTTTTTTTTTTTTTTTTTTGAGACGGAGTCTCGCTCTGTCGCCCAGGCCGGACTGCGGACTGCAATGGCGCAATCTCGGCTCACTGCAAGCTCCGCTTCCCGGGTTCACGCCATTCTCCTGCCTCAGCCTCCCGAGTAGCTGGGACTACAGGCGCCCGCCACCGTGCCCGGCTAATTTTTTGTATTTTTAGTAGAGACGGGGTTTCACCTTGTTAGCCAGGATGGTCTCGATCTCCTGACCTCATGATCCACCCGCCTCGGCCTCCCAAAGTGCTGGGATTACAGGCGTGAGCCACCGCGCCCGGCCCATAAATTCTTACCAATGTCAAACCGACCACGCCCCTTATTATTCTACCTTAATGGTTTCTGTGTTTTCTCTATATTGCAAATTCTTCAGGGATGAAAAAAAAGTGTCAACTGAAGAATAAAGATGTTAGAATGGGTTGGCAGTACTTATCACATAATACTAATAAACAGAGGGTAAATGCACTTCAATGGTGTTAAGAATTCAAAGATTTGAAATATATATAATATAAAGTGATAAAGATGCTATGATAAAGAGAAACAATATCATGTGCACGTAATATACATGACTCGGCTTTGACAAGACAACATCTAGGGAGAAGATTATCCAGGAAACTACTAGTGCAGTGATGCAAATTGTCTTCCGGCAGGGCATGATGGCTCCCGCCTGTAATGCCAGCACTTTGGGAGGCCAAGGTGGGCGGATCACTTGAGGTCAGGAGTTTAAGTCCAGCCTGGCCAACATGACGAAACCCCATCTCTACTAAAAGTACAAAATTAGCCAGGTGTGGTGGTGCGTGCCTGTAGTCCCAGCTACTCGGAAGGCTGAGGCAGGCCCTCAGCCTTGAACCCGGGAGACAAAGGTTGCAGTGAGCCCAGATCGTGCCACAGCACTCCAGCCTGGGCAACAGAGTGAGACTCAGTCTCAAAAAAAGAAAGGAAGGAAGGAAGGAAGGAAGGAAGGAAGGAAGGAAGGAAGGAAACAAGGAAGGAAGGGAGGGAAAATTGTCTTCCTTAGCAAAAACTATCAAAAATTCAATAAAATATGGCACATTGATACCAAATAATGTTACACAGTTTTAAGGAATAAAATATAAAAACCAAATAGTTAAACTGATAGCAGAAGTAATGAATGAACTAATTTTGAAAAAGATTATTTATCTTTATTATTTCAGATACAGTCTCTGGTATAAGCCAGGTAGAACACATAAAGCTATTAGAACTACACATAAAGAACACATGAAACTATTAGAACACAAACATTTCATATGTGGATATTTGGGTGAGGGAGGTTGTCCAGTAGATGACAAAAGAAAGCATGTACAAACTTTCAGAAGGCTACTTGCAAATGTAAAGAAAAGTTACATACAGCAATGCCACAAGTATGCATAGAAATCATAATGGATTGCAACAGAGGATCCTAAAAAAGGTCTAGAGTATTTTATACTTTTTGTTATGTGTCTTTACATTTGATATTGAATGATGCAGCAAATATCTATTTTACAGCACTGAATTTTTTTATATCATCTAAGAAATTATATAACTACTCTTTTTTTTTTGCTAAAAAAAAAAAAGGGATAGATGTGCAGAACGTGTAGGTTTGTTACACAGGTATACGTGTGCCATGGTGGTTTGCTGCTCCTATTGACCCGTCCTCTAAGTTCCCTCCCCTCACCCCCAACCCCCAAACAGGCCCTGGTGTGTGTTGTTCCCCTCTCTGTGTCCATGTGTTCTCATTGTTCAACTCCCACTTATGAGTGAGAACATGCGGTGTTTGGTTTTCTGTTCCTGTGTTAGTTTGCTGAGAATGATGGCTTCCAGCTTCATCCATATCCCTGCAAAGGACATGATCTCATTCCTTTTCATGGCTGCATAGTATCCCATGCTGTATATGTACCCCATTTTCTTTATCCAGTCTATCATTGATGGGCATTTGGGTTGGTTCCATGTCTTTGCTATTGTAAATAGTGTTTCAATAAACATACGTCTGCATGTGTCTTTATAGCAGAATGATTTATATTCCTTTGGATATATACCCAGTAATAGGATTGCTGGGTCAAATGGTATTTCTGGTTCTAGATCCTTGAGGAATCGCCCTACTGTCTTCCACCATGGTCGAACTAATCTACATTCCCACCAACAGTGTAAAAGCGTTCCTATTTCTCCACAGCCTCACCAGCACCTGTTTCCTGACTTTTTAATAATTGCCATTCTGACTGGCATGAGATGGTATCTCATTTTGGTTTTGATTTGCGTTTCTCTGATGATCAGTGATGTTGAGCTTTTCATATGTTTGTTGGCTGCATTGATGTCTTTTTTTGGGAAGTGTCTGTTCATATCCTTTGCCCACTTTTTGATGGGATTGTTTGTTTTTTTCTTGTAAATATGATATAACTAACTCTTTTGCTTCAACCAAATGTTGGAATATATTGTAAAGGCATTTATGGAACATAAAATTTTAAATCATTGTTGAATATAGGATGGGAAACTTGAGGAGATGCCATCTTGCTACTAGAACTTAATTAGAGAGAGTATGCAATGCATGTTGATGATATGAATAAAAATGTAGATTCTAAAATGCAAGTCAGAAGTATACTGAAAATATCTTCTTTAAAATGCATTGTTCAGCCTAAATTAGGAGTAAAGATAAAGTTAATGTTATATGCAAACTTAGACAGGAACCCAAAGTCAGTATATATAATTCCCTTGAAAGCATAACATTATGGGCTTAGAAAATTTTTTAGGAAAAATTAACTTATGATATTCACACAAAGATATTATTGCTGCTAAACAAATTGCAGAGTTTCTCAACATTAAGCTGCTAAACAAATTGCAGAGTTTCTCAACATTAAGCCCAATTTTTCTAATATAAAAATACCAGAAAGAAGAGGAAGAATAATTTCTTTTTTTTCTTTCTTTTTTTTTGAGATGAAGTCTCACTTTGTCACCCAGGCTGGAGTGCAGTGGCGCAATCTCTGCTCACTGCAATTTCCGCCTCTGGGCTCAAGGTATTCTCCCACCTCAGCCTCCTGAGTAGCTGGGATTACAGGAGTGCCCCACCATATTCACCTAATTTTTGTATTTTTAGTAGAGACAGTGTTTACCATGTTGGCCAGGCTGGTCTTGATCTCCTGACTTCAGGTGATCCGCTCGCCTCAGCCTCCCAAAGTGCTGGGATTACAGGTGTGAGCCACCGTGCCTGGCCAGGAAGATTAATTTCAAATGTCATTTCTACAGTCAATCCACCTGTGATCCCAAATTTATTTCTATTTTTCTCTCTATAGGTTACAGTCATATTTTCTTTAAAGGAAAGATTTATATTGCAGAAGGACTATATGGTCTTTTCTGTGTCTTAGATTAGTATTTCTCAAATGTTCCTGTGCATATAGAATGCGGGGGATCTTATTAAAATGCAAATTCAGATTCAGTAACTCTGGGTTGGGACCTGAAATTCTGCATTCCTAACAAGCCCCTGATGATGCTTTGATGCTGGATATGTGGAGTAGGAAGGTTCCAGATATCGCATGTGATTTGAAGAATTGCTGTGAATATGAAGTACCAAGGCTGCGTTAAAAATGTACAATTGAAATTGACTGACAAGCATATTAAAGGCTTTTATAGATCATTCATCAATGTACAAAGCCCTAAAAACCTGAAGTTGTCTTTTAAAATCTAATGTTCTTTCACTAAAATATTGCAAAGTCTTTGTTACAATAACTTACTAGATCCACTTCCAAATAACTTCATGCCTTTCAAGATACAACTAATTTTGCCAATAGCAATATCAATGGAGAATGTGGCTTATCAAAATTAAATACATTAAGCTGGGTACCGTGGCGTGTGCCTGTAGTCCCAGTTACTGGGGAGGCAGAGTGGGGAGGATCACTTGAGACCAGGAGGTCAAGCCTGCAGTGAGCTGTGATCGCGCCACTGCACTCCAGCCTGGGGACAGAGCAAGACCCTGTCTCAAAAACAAAACAAAACAAAACAACCAATGTAAGGCCTACAATCAAGAAGAAAAGTCCACCAATCTGATGATCATTTCCATAAAATATAAGCAATAAAACAAGTAAGAATTAAAACTGTCAAAAAGAATTTTACTTCCACAAAGACAAGATGTCTTTTTTACAACAAATTATTAAATCCAAGTGACTTTGAGTTCTTAATATTATAATTAATCATTTGAATTTTTCAATATTTTATAATGAATTATTTGCTTGCATAATTTACATGGAATTACTGCCAGTCCTTGTTATTATTGAGAAATAAATAATATAACTTTTTAACTTGAGGAAAGATTAGCTTTTTCAAATTTGTACGAAATGCCATATGGGCTAGTGATAGCCTTGGTTTGGATAGTTTACTAAATAAAGAATAAAATTACCAGTGGAACTCATCTGCCTGGTCTCAAGCTCTTGATATCCTGAAATTGCTCGTGTGGTTCAAATAATCCATATATAGTCTGACCCAGGAGAGGATTTTAATGGTCCACCAGATAGATTGTTAAAAGGATACCTGTGGTACCAAGGAAAACAGGATTCTTGGCCATGGATCTGCCTTCTGGGTACTTAGGAAGACCAATTACCAAGTCTTCATGGGAAAAATAGGAACTATTGACCTGCGTGGCATAGAACCCTGGAATTGGAAGCTTGTCCAGGGTCCAAGGCAGCTCCAGCTATTATATTAAGAGTTTCTTTATCCCTTCCCCAGTAGTCTGCACTCCAGCCATTCAAATAACCCACCTTCTCCCTCCTCCTTTCCCTTTTCCTTCTTTTTCTGCCTCTACTACTGATCTCTGTGTAGCTCAATTAGTAAGAGAATCTGACTGGACTAATAAGGTCACTCTTGTTCCTGCTGGACAAAACTCTCCTAAACCCGGACTTGTGTCAAAAGAACCCCTTGGGAAAACTCTTCTAACCAGGGGACAGTGGATGGGGACCCTTCACTTACAGGGCTGGGGATAAAAATTGACTGTGTAGCGAAACTTTTGAAAACAGTTGTTTGTTTAAAAACACTCTTGACGGAAATTATCTTTATAAACAACATTCATTTTCCTGACTATAAAAGCAGTATCTGCTTGTTTTAGAAAAATATAGAAAAAAGTAAAGAAGAAACATAAAATAATCACTGTCCATTTTTGTTGTATTTTCTAGTTAAATATGTTTGTGGCTGGGTGCATGGTGGCTCATGCCTGCAATTCCAGCACTTTGGGAGGCCAGTGCAGGCAGATTGCTTGAGCCGAGGAGTTCGAGACCAGCCTGGACAGCATGGTGAAACCCCATCTCTACAAAAAAAAAAAAAAAAAAAAAAAAAAAAAAATTAGCTCGGTGTAGTGGTGCATGCCTGTAGTGCCAGCTACTTGGGAGGCTGAAGTGGGAGGATCACTTGAGCCTGGGCAGCAACCTAGGTACAATGAACCATGATTGTGCCACTGTACTTCAACCTGGGTGACAGAGCGAGACCCTGTGTCAAAAAATATCTATATCTCTCTAAATATAATATATATACATATATATGTTTGTGTGTGTACTTACATGCATATTGAAAACATATATAACATTTGAGATTATACTACACATATTCTTTTTTCCTTTATTTTGTGAGATTTTTTTCTAAGTGATAAAAAAATTCTTCATAAACACTTTTGCTAACTAGATCCCTCATCTTCCGACAAGAGATGCGCTATTATCAGCAACTTCACTATTGTGAGGCAGATGTGGATTTTAACCAGACTTCATCTGTATGACAATATTGGAGGGGTAGCTGTGGGGACAACTCACTGTATTGTGCCTGGGGTTTTTCACCCCCAGACCTGACAGGAAAAATAGCTGGTTTCTGTCTCCAGGTCAGCTCTGGCAGCCGGGACTCCATCCACTGAACACAGGCTCCAAGAGGGGGAAGGACTGGCACGGGGATGTGGCGCACCTGCTTCCAGGAAGGAGCTGGTGGTAAAGGGTTACAGGATTAGAGAGCTAAGCTGAAGGGATGCACCTGGAGGCAGTCCTGCATGCTGGATTTACAACAGGAGCCTGGGCTTCGTATAAATGAGTAATGCTTCATGATGCTCTTTTCCGAGCAAGCTGCAAAAATTGGCAGGGGCCCTTCAGTGTGCTGTCGATGTGTCTGGAATTCAAATAATTTGATTCTGAGATACAATGACAATGGGAAGCAAGGCATTACCTTGCGAGAATGATGGCAGAGACAGCTGCTGCAACCAGCATCCATGGAAGAGGTTGCGCGAACAACTGTTCTCCCTTTGCCGTCCCCCTGAAATCTCTATTATGCCTCGCTGCTACTGCCCTTACTCAAGGGCATTAAATTAAAAAGTAATGTAGCTGATAATTCTTCCTTTCTTTTGCCCCAGTTCAGGCAGTGAAGAATGGGTAAAGTGAAATAAAAACCTTGACGGAAACTGATATGTCTCTTTAAAAAAATGATGCTGACATTAGACACAGCTCAGGAGGGTACAATTTGAATATCGGGTGGCATTGCAACGTACAGCATCACTTGCTTTCTTTGCTTTTAAATTTGTCTTTGTTGGCTGAACACGTTAATATTTTTCCAAGGTGTAATAGCTGGGAGGGTTCCATCAGGAATAACAGGAGATCTGGTGAGCACTGGGTTCTTTTATCTTCCAAATCATAAGGCATTTTGCTTGTGCTGGTTGTCATTTCCATTAGAAGAACTGATAAGCAGATTCTGACTTCATTTGCCCAAATATAGTGCTCTTGTTGGTAGAGCATTTAGCTTCTCTGAAGCACTTTATTTTTTATTTATTTATTTATTTATTTTTGAGACAGAGTGTCGCTCTGTCTCCCAGGCCAGAGTCCAATGGCACAATCTTGGTTCACTGCAACCTCCGCCTCCTGGGTTCAAGCAATTATCCTGCCTCAGCCTCCTGAGTAGCTGGGATTACAGGCACCCACCACCATGCCTGGCTAATTTTTGTATTTTTAGTAAAGATGGGGTTTCGCCATGTTGGAACCAGGCTGGTCTTGAACTCCTGACCTCAGGTGATCTGCCTGCCCCAGTCTATAAAGTACTGGGATTATAGGCTTAAGCCACCGACCCCTGCCAGCACTTTATTTTTTTAAGTCTTTTTTTTTTTTTTTTTTTTTTTGTCTAGGCCATAGCATTCTGGAGAAGAGCTCTAGACAAGAACTGTGAGCTCTTAGTTATGATTTCAGATTTGCTGTTGTGGCTTGCTATCTCTGGATCTCCTTTTTTCCATCTAGAAAAGGAAAAGTGTTGGGCTTTCCTCTCCAGATCCCCAATTCCCTGATTCTGTTATCTAATTTGATAATTTATTACTAATGGTAGCATTGGCAAAATTGCCAGGTATTTTGACTCCACCTTTCCTACAAAAATCAGTCTTTTAAAAAGAATTTGGAAAACAACATTTTGACTTTTTCTTAACCTCATAAATACTTAGTTCTCAGAATGTGAACATGTAAATAGTAATGGCAACCAATTACATAGCATTTACTGTGTAACGGGTATGGTTCCAATGTTTCATTTATTCTCACAACAACACTGTGAGGTATGTAGACAGATAAAAATTATTCTTCTAGCTTTACAATTGCTAAGAAATAACGTATAAGATGTCCTGTCTCTGCTATGGAAGTAGCAGATAAAAAATCATCAACGGCATGCCCCTAGATCCAGATTTTCTCCTAAATTCATGAATTCAGGGTAAAACCTTGGACAAAAAGCCAATGTCCAAGGAGCACAGATAAATTCAGCAGTGGTATCTGTTCACTTTCATGAAGACTGTCCAGGAACGTGGTCACAGGTTCACACTGACCTGTCTGGATGAAGGTGTCTTTCTTGCTACAGAGTTAGGATTGCAACCGGCCTGCATGGAGAACAGGATTCCTTCCTAATTAGCAATTGCTTACTTTGCAGCTGTTGCTCCTCAAGCCAGAGCAACCCACTGGTGCACAGGGGAATACTGGTGTGCCTAGAAGGGGTTACAGCGAGCCTAAATCATCGACACCCTTGGCAAGGCTGTTGGGCCCCAGCAGCTTCCCCGCCGTACTGCTGTATTCCATTCTGTATGTGCCAAGTTACAGGAATGAGTGGGAAACACCAGTAGAGAATGTATTCTCTCTTTCCTATTTGCTGTCACTGAGAGTGAGAATACAACCAAAATATCCATTTCACTTCAAGGTCAGGAATTCTTCATGGAACAAAAAAAGAGAAAATCATGGATAAAACAGAATAGCCACTCAAAAGAATCCAGAGTTATGCCTATTCCAATATTAAGGAGTTTCTTCAAGAAAATGAAATCATATTTACTTAGGGTTTCTCTTTTTCTCTCTTTTTTCATGTGTGTGTGTGTGTGTGTGTGTGTGTGTGTGTGTGTGTGTGTGTCCCAAGCAAGGTAAACTGTACTTCTTGTACCCAAAAATACTTTGAAAGACCAAAAGTAATGGGTAGGTCAGCCCTCTGGCAGTTATTGCTACCATCTTGTATTACCACTCGACCATAGTGATCCAGAAATGGTGCCAGGGGAGAATCTACTCAGCTGGGCCTCTCTCGTTCCACACAATCTAGGGAGTCAGGTTCCCAGCCTTGCAAGTCTAGATGTATGATCTTATCAGTGTCCCAGAGAAGACAGGCTATGGGAGGGCAACCCATACAAACCAAACTCAGGCAAGGTTAAATTATAGCCCAGAATGCGATGTCAACATTCTGAAATTAAATTATCCAGGCAACTGGTAGCTACTCAGGAGACTGATGTGGGAAGATTGCTTGAACCCGGGAGGCAGAGGTTGCAGTGAGCCGAGATCACGCCACTGCACACTGCAGCCTGGGTGACAGAGCGAGACTCTGTCTCAAAAAAAAAAAAAAAAGGAAAAGAAAAAGAAAAAAAAAGCCCCACAAAACAAACAAACAACAAAAACAAAATGAACAAAATGATTACCCAGGCAACTGGACACTTCTAGGGAACTCTTCCTGCAGGGAAACTAGGAGAGAAGCCAAGCTAGACCAGGAGGTCATTGAATGAGTTTTGAGGCTGTTGAGAAGGCTCTTGAGTGAATCTGAACAAAGGGAAGAGGCCTAGAAAGTGTCCCTGAGGGTGGGGCACAGGGTGGCTCATGCCTGTAATCCAGCACTTTGGGAGGCTGAGATGGGAGGATTGCTTGAGCTCAGGAGTTCGAGACCCACCTGGACAACATAGCAAGACCTTGTTTCCACTTTTTTATAAAAATATTTTTTAAATTACACAAAAAAAGAAAAGAATAAAAGAAAAGAAAGTGTCCCTGAGTTGGTGATTGGATGGCCTGCTAGGCACAGTGCAAAGTGCTTTATATATACTGTGTTATTTAATTTGGTCCTCATAACAATATGTAATACTCTGTTATTATCCCCACATTACACCTGAGGAGACAAGACCCAGAGAAGTTAAATTGTCCAGTGTCACACAGCCGTTGTTTATGGTCAAAGGGTACAGAAGACTGTATGTTTATATATTTCTAGCTCTGTCCAGTAAGAGACCATGAGTTTTGTAAAAATAAGCTTTATTGAGGTATAATTTACATATGATAAAATCCACCCATTTTAAGCAGTCAATTCAATGAGTTTTAACAAATTTACAGTTATGTAATCATAACCACAGTCACCATATAGAACAGCCCCATCCAACCCTTATCTCTAGCTCTTGACAATCACAGATTTGTTTTTGGTCACTATAGTTTCCCCTTTTCTGGAATTTCATATGAATGGAATAATGCAGAGTTTAGTGTGCCTAACTGGCTGCTCTCACTTAGTGCAATGCTTTTGAGACCCATTCATGTCGTATTTGTCAGTAAAATTCATGTTGTATTTTGCCATAAAAAGGAAAAAAACAGGTACAGTCATCCATTTGTGTGTCTTCTTTAGTGAAGCATCTATTAAAATCATTTCCCCATTTTAATTGATTTGTTTTCTATTACTGAGATGTAATCACTCTTTACATATTCAGGATACAAGTACAAGTCTTTTTTCAGACACGTGTTTTGCAAGTATTTTCTCCCAGTCTATACCTTGCCATTTCAAAATTCTTTTGAGTGACTATTCTGTTTTATACATGATTTTCTCTTTTTTTGTTCCATGAGGAATACCTTGCCATTTCTTTTTCTTGATGGAATCTTTGCAAAAGCAACATTTTAAAATTTTGGTAAAGTTCATAATTGTGTTTTCCTCTTCCTATTGAGACAGAGGAAATCACTGGCTTAATGTAAATTTTTATAAATAATTTATTGGATTGGGCGTGGTGATTCCCAGGCTGTGCATTTATTATACATTCAGAACCTGTATAAATGGTGTCTTGAGGTTTTGCATTCTCAGGGAAAACTTTTGTTTTCTCTCATCCAGAATCTAGACAGAGGTTGCAAACTTCCTTGACATCACTCTGTGCCTGTGGATAGATTTTTTTTCCCAGTCCACCCCTTCACTGTGGATGTAGCCCTTTGCTAGCTCTGCCTTATGTAGGATTCTCACTTCCAACCACCCATTCACAACAATCCTCAATGTATTCTCCCTGCATGGAGCCAGATGGTAGTGGCCAGTAACTCCCCAGGGCATCTCAGTGCCAGCTTTATGCAATGTTTCTCACCTCTATTTATTTCTGGACCTGATGTTTTCTATATTTGTTTTTCCTGCAGCTCAATTTTGCGTCTAGGTATCTGGATACGTTTTATTCATCATTAATAGGTGTTGTGGTTATCTTAGGCTTCCATTTTGCCCAAACTAAACATTCTCCAGCTTAGGTTTTACTTCATCTTTGTGCACATCTGGATCTGACTTATTTCACCTTCCCCTGTTGGGTGATGCTGGGTTTGTGCCTTCCTGTTCACCTGGGTTTCATTATAAGCCATGGTAAGTAGAATCAGAAGATTCACATTCCTTTCTAATGACCCCAGTTGCCCAACAGTTAAGACCAACTATCTTTTCTCTCTCTCTATTTTTGAGACAGAGTCTTCCTCTGTCACCCAGGCTAGAATGCAATGGCATGATCTGGGCTCACTGCAACCTCCATTTCCTGGGTTCAAACAATTCTTCTGACTTAGCCTCTGAGTAGCTGGGATTACAGGCACCTACCATCTTGCTCGGCTAGTTTTTGTATTTTTGATAGAGACGGTGTTTTACCATGTTGGCCAGGCTTGTCTCAAACTCCTGACCTCAAGTGATCCACCTGTCTTGGCCTCCCAAACTGCTGGGATTACAGGCATGAGGCACTGTGCCCGGCCATCTTTTCTCTTTAATCACTGGGTAATACAGGAAAGATTCTGTCTATATTCAAAT